>NC_000005.10:98594655-98897685 GCF_000001405.40 Homo sapiens
AGTAAAACTGCTGAGGTTTTGACTTGAATTGCATTGAATCTGGAGACCAATATAGGAGGAACTGACATCTTTAAATGAAAAAAACGAACAACCCCATCAAAAAGTGAGCAAAGGATATGAACAGACACTTCTCAAAAGAAGACATTTATGCAGCCAAAAGACATGTGAAAAAATGCTCATCATCACTGCCCATCAGAGAAATGCAAATCAAAACCACAATGAGATACCATCTCACACCAGTTAGAATGGAGATCATTAAAAAGTCAGGAAACAACAGGTGCTGGAGAGGATGTGGAGAAATAGGAACACTTTTACACTGTTGGTGGGACTGTAAACTAGTTCGACCATTGTGGAAGACAGTGTGGCAATTCTTCAAGGATCTAGAACTAGAAATACCATTTGACCCAGCCATCCCATTACTGAGTATATACCCAAAGGATTATAAATCATGCTGCTATAAAGACACATGCATACATATGTTTATTGTGTCACTATTCACAATAGCAAAGATTTGGAACCAACCCAAATGTCCAACAATGATAGACTGGATTAAGAAAATGTGGCACATATACACCATGGAATACTATGCAGCCATAAAAAAGGATGAGTTCATGTCCTTTGTAGGGACATGGATGAAGCTGGAAACCATCATTCTCAGCAAACTATCGCAAGGACAAACAACCAAACACTGCATATTCTCACTCATAGGTGGGAATTGAACAATGAGAGCATTTGGACACAGGAAGGGGAACATCACACACTGGGGCCTGTCGTGGGGTGGGGGGAGGGGGGAGGGATAGCATTTGGAGATATACCTAATGTAATGACAAGTTAATGGGTGCAGCACACCAACATGGCACATGTATACATATATAACAAGCCTGCAGATTGTGCACATGTACCCTAGAACTTAAAGTATAATTAAAAAAAAAAGCTTTCCAGCAATGAATATGTACATCTTTCCACTTATTTAAATCATCTACAATTCTCTCAAAAATGTTGTTTGGTATAAAGAAATAAGATTGATTTTTATATTGACCATCTCTTTAGATACTTGAGATTTTCTACATACAGAAATGTATGATCTGCTGATACTGAGAGTTTTATTTACTGTTTTCCAATCCTTCTTGTTATTTCTTCGTTTTTTAATCTTATTGCTCTGACTAGAACTATAGTACAATGTTGAATAGAAGCAGTGAGTGCAAGCATTCTCGTCTCATTCCTGATCCCAAACATTTCATAGTCCATGACTTAGTCAACTTTAGTAAATTATGTTATATGGTTTTTCAAAGCAGTTGTATAATTTTACACTTCCAACAGCAGTATGAGAGTTCCAGTGGGAATACGGAGCATCTACCTCTAGAGTCTTAAAGTCTGTCTTAATATTTCCTCACTTCTCCCTTCCATTTCATAATTCAATCACTGAAAGGAAAAAAAAACAAAACTATTACAGATGGTTGCTTCTCTGAGAAAGAAGCGAAAATGCAGAGGTTTGGCAGAGAATGAATCCAGGAGGAGGTGTTTGGTTTACTCCATATTCTTCTATATTGTCACTTAATTTATATCGCTAGTATAATTTTGTGTATTATTTTGTTTTAATTTCCTAGAAATGAAATTGAAAGATAGGAAGTTAAAATGGAAATAGTATTTAAAATGAACAAATATGAAAACTTTGAATTTAAGTATATAGGAGCAAAAAATGCATTTTTTAATGGGACAGGACATTGGCTAATGACATGGAGAGACCAAGTGCAGGGAATGTACTACACAAATGTGGCTATGATCACATCCTCCAATCATCCTCATGGTCTGAGGCTTACCTTCACACTCCAGAGAGGCTTGTTCCAGGACAATAAATGAAGAGGATTGGATCTTCACAAGCTTACACTTCATTTGAAGTGCTTATTTTAGCCTTTTTCCAAAATATTTGGATATCCAGATATAGGAACTATAACATTAAATAAGCTTCTGGATCTGAATGTTCCTTAACATTTTTAAACGTTTTCTTCCCTACTAAAATTTCATAGTGATTTTTTCCATTGAGGAGAAATTATGTTTTATATTTCTTCTCCTACCTGTTTTGAAGAATACAAATGAGAATCTGGAAAACAAAGAGTATTGAGTCTTCAAACTCTACTTAAACTAAATCATATTCAGGTCTCCTGCACATTTTTACCTGCTCTGAAGCTCTATTCCATGGCACAAATATTTTACTAGGGGAATTTAGAGAGCTTATCTGCCATCATGCCATTAATTCTATCTTATTAGTATTGCTTTATTTGGTGCAACAAAAAGAAAGTTGCATATTTCCCTCTTTAAGTCTAATTTTTATTACAAGATTTGCTTGCTTCTCTCTTCCTTGGCAACACTTCTCTCTTAAAGAATGCCAAATTCTTACATGAACCTAAATGCGATGGTGATGAAATCAGTGTTTGAGTTGTATTCTCTGATTCATCTGGATAAACTGGATGGAGGACTGTCCTTCTAGCTCAGGAAGACACCTGAGTGTGTCCTCTTAGTGCAATCCTATCTCTAAGCCATCCCTTCCCACACCAGTGAGATCTTCATCTATTCTTAAACAATCCTATGTTATATAATATTAAAATAGAGTATGTCATGCCATGCATGGATTGAAGAAAAAACTCAACTGGGCTGTAGAAGAACAGGCTTCCATCCTGGTTAATTTCTACTAATCAAGCTAGATGACTTAAGCCAAGATACAACTTCTTGAGGCTTCAGTTTTCTCACCTGGAAATGCATCATTTGTATTTGATGATCATTGAGGGCCCTTCCAATTCTAACAATCTGTATCTAGTCATCTATATGAAGCTTAGAAAAGGAACAATTACATTAGTTTCTTAATGGTGCAATTTTAAATTATATTAGAGGGAAAAATAAAGTGGTTTTAACTTTTTTATTTACATTTGGAACTGAATAAAACAGGTAAGTGAGAATATTGGTACATTTCAGCAATATATTTTATGACATCTTTTGTTCAAGGGAGCAGTTTGGGTGGATGCCAACAGTTCAATTTTTTCACCACTATTCAGTGGGCTTCCTACACAACTCTCCACTGCTAGAAATATGAGCAATAATAAATACTTCAACAATTGATTTCAAACTGGGCTTGTGAAACTCTAGAGTTCTACAAAGCCTTTCAAAGTATCTGCAAATATTTTATATGAATTTCACTTTTTAAACTATGTGCTAAATATTTTATATGTATAATGTGTATCTCTTTATTCAGAAGTATTATGTTTAGTCATTCAACAAACATTCATGAAGTGATTATTACATGTTGAGAACTCGGGGTTCAGGAACAAATGACACAGACAAAAATTCCTGCCCTCCCCCATGAGATTCACATTCTAGTGGGTGTAGCAAAAAGGAAACAAAATAAATACTATATATATTAACTGTTTATAAAGGCAGTGGAGGAAAATTAAGCAGGAGCTACAAAATGAAACAAAAGTTTAGAGTAGGTCTGTCCGAAAAGGTGGCAGTTCAGTAAGACTTAAAGGATGTGGGGAGCAAGCCAGAGAAATAGTTAGTGCAAAGGCCCTGGACCAGGAGACTGGGAGCAGCAGTCAGACCACCCTCCACTGAAGGGAGAGGGAGATAGAAAGAGACAAAGCCATAAAAGGAATGGAGGCCTGTGGGTCATCATAGGTCTTTGGCTTTTAACACATAGAAAATCCCTAATGCTTTGATTTGTGCTGTCTAGTACAGTAGTTTTTTGTGGAGCTTTCCTGTATTCTCTTTATATCCTGATATGATTTGAGTGTATCCCCTCTAAGTCTCATGTTGAAATGTGATTCCCAATGTTGAAGGTGGAGCCTGGTAGGAGATGACTGGATCATGGGGGCAGATCCCTCATGAATGGCTTAGCACCATCCCCTTGGTGATAAACCACTTCTTGCTCAGTTCACATGAGATCTGGTTGTTTAAAAAAGTCTGGGAACTCCCCGCTCTCTCTCTTGCTCCTTCTAATTCCATGTGACTTGCCTGCTTCTGCTTCTCCTTCTGACATGAGTAAAACTCCCTGAGGTCTCACCAGAAGCCAAGCAGATGACAGCACCATACTTCCTGTATAGCCTGCAGAACCATGAGCAATTAAACCTCTTTTATTTGTAAATTACCCAGTTGCAGCTATTTCTTTATAGTGATGCAAAAAAAAAAAACCTGACTAACACATATCCATTTGAATATGGCACTGAACAAGGAGATTATATTTCTGTACAATCTTGTTCAAAATCAGGCTGTTACCTTCTCATTCAAGTAAAAACTGCATTTTTATTATAATAAATGTGGGTTAGGTTAAATGACATGCCAGGTCAGGCTTAGTTATATCTCCTTATGTCACTTTTGCAACAACAAGCAGTACTCCTGTTGGGAAAGGGAAATTGTGATTTACGTGAGCCTCTTTCAATGAACATAATGACTTGATATGAAGTTTCTAGATGGAATTTGCAGTCATATCTGTCTCAACATCCAACTTATAGTTGAATTTTGCTTGATTTTTCAGTACCAGGATAATACTGACTTAGACAAGTAGTTGCAAAAGGATAGCAGCTTATTGTGCAATCCCAGGATGCTTTTAATAAACTGCTCTGGAAACTGGAAAGGGATATAAATGATATATTTTATTTCCCATTAAAATGAAATAACATAAATATATGATGTTTATTAGGGAAGGGAGGTAAATGGAAAGCAGCAATTATGATATGTGCTCTGCTCATTGGCTTCATTAAGAATGGGCTCCCAATATAAGTACGGAGATTAACCTTCACTGAATATTGAAAAATGATGGTTCTAATCATGGTCAATTTGAGAAAAGTAAAATTTGAGCAAGTCAGTAATAGAAGGGCGGGATGGGTACAGACTCAGAAACTTCGACTATTGCTATATTTTAGTGAATTAATAGAAGACATAAAAACTAGGAAGAGAATCAGCTGGCAATAGACAATATACTAATTGATATAAATAAGGATCATTCACCAGTGTTAAAATCATTGGATGACAGGTTGTTGGGTAACAGGATATTCACTTATTTACATGATAACAAAGAATTCTGACAGAGTACTTACTAATTTACAAAAGAGAAACAGTACCTTTATTAAAGAGAAATCTTTCAGAAACTACCAATATTGTTTGGCTGTGTCCCCACCCAAATCTCATCTTGAATAGTAACAATCCCCACGTGTCAAGGGCAGGGCCAAGTGGACATAATTGAATCGGGGGTGGGTTTTTCTCATGCTGTTCTTATGATAGTGAATAAGTCTCACAAGATCTGACGGTTTTATAAAAGAGAGTTCCCCTACACATGCTCTCTTGCCTGCCGCCATGTAAGATGTGACTTTGCTCCTTGTTTGCCTTCTGCCATGATTGTGAGGTCTCCCCAGTCATGTGTAACTGTGTGTCTATTAAACCTCTTTCCTTTATAAATTACCCAGTCTCTGGTATGTCTTTATTAGGAGCATGAGAACAGACTCATACAGTAAATTGGTACCTGCTAGTGGGGCACCACCGTAAAGATACCTGAAAATGTGGAAGTGGCTTTAGTATTGGGTAAAAGTCACAGATTAGAACAGTTTGGAGGGCTCAGATGAAAACAGGAAAATGTGGGAAAGTTTGGAACTTCCTAGAGACTTGTTGAATGGTTTTGACCAAAATGCTAGTAGAGATATGGACAATAAGGTTCAGGCTGAGGTGGTCTCAGATGGAGATGAGGAGCTTTTTGGGAACTGGAGCAAAGGTGACTCTTGTTATGCTTTAGCAAAGAGGTTGGTGGCATTTTGCCCCTGCCCTAGAATCTGTGGAACTTTGAACTTGAGAGAGATGATTTAGGGTGTTGGGTGGAAAAAATTTTTAAGTAGCAAAGAGTTCAAGAGGAAGCAAAGCATAAAGCTTTGGAAAATTTGCAGCCTGACAATGCAATAGGAAAGAAAAACCCATTTTCTGGGGAGAAACTCAAGCCTCCTGCTGCAGAAATTTGTATAAGTAACAAGGAGCCAAGTGTTAATCCCCAAGAAAATGGGGAAAGTGTCTCCAGGGCATGTCAGACACCTTTGCAGCAGCCCCTTCCATGACCATCACAGGCCCTGAGGCCTATGAGGAAATGGTTTCGTGGCCCCTGCTGTGTGTAGCCTAGAGACATGGTGCCCTGTGTCCCAGCCACTCCAGCCATGGCTAAAAGAGGCCAATGTATAGTTTGGGCCATGGCTTTGGAGAGTGCAAGTCCCAAGCCCTGGCAGCTTCTATGTGGTATTGAGCCTGTGGGTACACAGAAGTCAAGAATTGAGGTTTGGGAACCTCCACCTAGATTTCACAGGATATATGGAAATGAACTAGATGTCCAGGCAGAAGTTTGCTGCAGGGGCAGGGCCCTCATGGAGAACCTCTGCTAGGGTAGTATGGAAGGGAAATGTGGGGATGGAGCCCCAACACAGAGTCCCCACTGGAGCACTGCCAAGTGGAGCTTTGAGAAGAGGGCCACCATCCTCCAGACCCCGGAATGGGAGATCCACTGACAGCTTACACCATGTGCCTGGAAAAGCTGTAGACACTCAATGCCAGCCCATGAATGCATCCAGGAGGGGGGCTGTACCCTGCAAAGTCACAGGAGCAGAGCTGCCTGGGACTGTGGGAACCCACCTCTTGCATTAGTGTGACCTGGATGTGAGACAGGGAGGCAAAGGACATTATTTCGGAGCTTTAATTACTGCCTTGTTGGATTTCAGACTTGCACGGGCCTGTAGCCCCTTTGTTTTGGCCAATTTCTCCAATTTGGAATAAGTCTATTTACCCAATGCCTGTACTCCCATTGTATCTAGGAATTAACTAACTTGTTTTTGATTTTCCAGGCTCATAGGCAGAAATGACTTGCCTTATCTCAGATGAGACTTTCAACTGTGGACTCCTGAGTTAATGCTGAATGAGTTAAGACTTTGGGGGACTATTAGGAAGGCGTGATTGAAATGAGAGGACATGAGATTTGGGAGGGGCCAGGGATGGAATGATATGGTTTGGCTCTGTTCCCACCCAGATCTCACCTTGAATTGTAATAATCCCCACGTGTCAAGGGCAAGGCCAGGTGGAGATAATTGAATCGTGGGGGCAGTTCCCCATACTGTTCCCATTGTAGTGAATAAGTCTCACCAGATTTGATGGTTTTATAAATGAGAGTTCATCTGCACAAGTTCTCTTGCCTGCCAACATGTAAGACATGACTTTGCTCCTCTTTTGTCTTCCACCATGATTGTGAAGCCTCTCAGGCCATGTGGAACTGTGAATCTATTAACATCTTTCCTTTATAAATTACCTAGTCTTGTGTACGTTTTTAGTAGCAGTGTGAGAACAGACTAATACAAGTATCTTAACCAAGCAATTAAGCTCAATATTATGTGCCTCTACATATGATGAAATGAAATGTACAGAACACTAACTATAGAGTATTCTTGTCAATAAAATGTTTATAATTGAATTATGAGGAAACAACCTTAAAAGTCCAAATTGTAGGACTTTTGGCAAGACAATTGGACTAGACTATTCAAAATGTTCCTATCAGAAACAGATCAATGGAACAGAATAGAAAACCCAGAAATAAAGCCATATACCTATAACCAACTGATCTTTGACAAAGACAACAAAAATATACAATGGGGAAAGGACATCCTGTTCAATAAACAGTGCTGGGATAATTGGAGAGCTATGTGCAGAAGAATGAAGCTGGACCCCATCTCACACCATATACACTAATTGACTGAAAATATGTTAAAGTCTTAATTGTAAGACCTGAAACTATAAAAGTCCCAGAGGAAAACCTCTTCTGGACATTAGTATTTGCAAAGAATTTATGACTAAGTCCTCAAAAAAAAAAATAGACAAATGGAACTTAAACTTTTTGAAACAAAAATAGACAAATGAAACTTAAACTAAAAAGCTTCTACATAGCAAAAGAAATAATTAACAGAGTAAACAGACAACCTACAGAATGGGAGAAAATATTTACAAACTGTGCATTCAACCAAGAACTAATATCTAGACTCTACAAGGAACTCAAACAACTCAATACAAAAAAAACAAATAACCCCATGAAAAAGAGGGCAAAGGACATGAACAGACATTTTTCAAAAGGAAGCAAACAAGCAGCCAACAAACATATGAACAAATGCTCCACATCACTAATCACCAGAGAAATGCAAATTAAAACCACAATGAGATACTATCTCACACCAGTCAGAATGGCTATTACTAAAAAGTCAAAAAACAACAGATGGTGAGGATGTGAAGAAAAGAGAGCAGTTATATACTGTTGGTGGAAATGTAAATTAATTCAACCTCTATAGAAAACAGTACAATGATTTCTCAAAAACTAAAAATAGCACTACCATTCTACCCAGTAATCCCACCACTGGGTATCTACCCAGAGGAAAAAAAAATTATATAATTTCTACACTTGTATGTTTATTGCAGCAATATTCACAATAGCAAACTCACGGAATCAGTCTACGTGTTCATCAATGGATTACTGGGTTAAAATGTGATATGTATACATATATATATACACATACACACACATACACACCATGTGTGTATATATATACATTTATGTATATATACACACATATGTGTGTGTATATATAATATATATAATCACATTATTCCATGGTGTGTGGAATATACACACATACACACACACAAACACACACATGGAATAGTGTGGTTATAATAATATATTATTAATAATATTATTATAAATTATATCTATTATATATACACACACATATCATGGAATAATGTGATTATATATATTACATATAGACACACACAGACATTCCATGGAATACTATGCAGCCATAAAAAAGAATGAAATCCTGTCTTTTGCAACAACATGGATGGAACTGAAGGTCATTATACTAAGCGAAATGACTCACAAACAGAAAAAAGCCACATGTTCTCACTTATAAGTGGGAGCTAAACAATGGGTACACACAGACATACAGAGTAGAATAAAAGACATTGGAGACTCCAAAAGGAGGGAGGGTGGAAGTGGGATGAGGGATGAAATACCATCTACTGGGTACAATGTACACTATTCAGATAATGGGTACACTAAAAGCTTAGATTTCGCCACTAAGCAACATATGCATGTAGCACAACTACACTTGTGCCCATATATTCATAAAAATAAAACATTTAATTTCTTTAAGAGTTCCTGTCATACAAGACAAACAAGTTGTTCTAAATTAAAGAAGAGTAAAGAGACTAAAGAAAACTAAATGGATATCACAAGCAAATGCAATACATGAAACTTGTTGGTTTTTTTTTTTTTAAAAAGCTTTCATTTGAGGGACAATTTATTATAATTTGAAAAATATTTGGGGGACAATTGAAAACTCAATATGCACTTTATATTAGATATTATAGAATATTGTGACACTTTTAAATTCTTAGAAGTTAAAATGGTATTGTGGTAATGTAGGAAAATGTCTTTATTCTTAGGCAATAAATACTGAAATATTAAGAGGCAGAGTGACATCATGTTGCAATTTGCTTTCAAATGGCTCAATAAAAGGGAAATTGGAGAGAAGCTTTATTACATGGATAGATAGATAATAGATAGATAGCATATAAATGTTATAAAATATTAGCAATTGGTGAATCTAGATGAAGGGTATGTGGGTGTTTATTGTGCTATTCTTTCAACATATCTGCAGGCTTGGGATTTTTCAAAACAAACGGTTAGGGAAGACAAAAGAGAGAGACTAGTGTCACTAACCAAAATAGTCTGAATAATTCTGACCTCAGAGTCACTTCCCACATCAGGGGGACATTTGCCACACTATTCACCCTGGAAGTCTATTAGCAGTGTTAGAAGCAGGAATCATAAGTCAGACTGCATAGTGGCTGTTGACTAATTAGTTAGCCTCATCAAACCTCAGCCTAGTGAATTTTATTGCCTTAAGTCACTTTTTTAAAAAATGCCTGAACAGAAATGTTAACCTCCCTATCCAAGCACAAGAAAGAGCTTTAGAGCACATAGAATTTAGCACCAAAAGAATTATGAACTGATATTTGCTCAGATTTGTGATGCTTATTGACTTACCCAAAGAAAAATATTTGCCTTTTGTAACAAGATTCTTTAAATTTACAGGAAAGCATGGCTGATCTTGCAAGTTTGGTTGTGGGGGTATAGGACTGAAGTGAATATGCATTTTGGAATTCTCAATCATGGCATCCAGGAAATACAGGCCGTTGGGCTTCTTACCCTGAAAGTCTAAGAAGGTTTCAAATATTGTACAAGTCTCAAATGCCAGGATTCAGCACAAAGGGAACAGTTATGTGTACAACAGGACTTGCTTTCAATTCTAACCTGCCCTGTGCCAGACCCATCCCTAAGTGTCACTGACTCACTGGCAGCATTTTAGCTAGGCTGTGAGTATTCACAGGGTCATGAACTGGAGCGTGATACCAGAAGCCAGACAAAACAGCATGCACCTCAAATGTCGTGTGTAAGGCTGAGATAAACAGTGAAACTATGGAACAATTGAAAAGGTCTTTCCTCCTCTAACCAGAGAAATAAATCTTAAAATATGAAGATCAAGGACTGCTAAAGACAACAAACACCAAAGAACTGAAACCGCTTACCAGCAGGTGGTATCACTGGGGGTTTGTCTTATGAAAAATGTGTCAGATCCTTTTAGGACAATATAAAACACTTCTGGTTCCTATGGTGATACTGATAATACATTGTCAGTCATTGTGGTATCTAGATCTACATTATGTAGTTTTAAAAGCACCTTGAAATATTTGAAGGTTAAATTTGTTTCTCCTCTAAATTGCTTGGTGTCAATTGTAGTTGTGGCAATTGGAGGAGATATAGTCAATTTGTGAGAAATACCACCAACCAGTATTTCTTGCCTCTTATAAGGCTCAGAGAAAGAGAAGAGGCCATAAACTCAGTCTCTTCACAACAGCCCCAGACACTAATCAAAGTCCAGGTCTTCAGAGTGAGAGAGACTAAGTAATTCATTAGTCTTCAGGGCTTTATCCAGGCCTTCACTTAGGGAAGGCCGCTCACTGCAGTATTTTCCAGTCTCAAGGATGGCAGTTTATTTGTCTGGTTGTTCCTTAATTAATTTGTTTCTTAGGAAAGGGCATTTTCTAATAAAATTCTATGAAAACATTTCCACAAGTCCAAGGCAGGCATAAACCACAAATCCTGCCACTTGACTTGGTAGAGTCAAAGGCTGGTTTTTGTAGTATGAGATTAACCATCAACCACAAATATTGTGATTGAGAAAATGGAAAAGATGAGCTTTCGATTTTTTCTCTTTTACTGGCTTTGTACTTTTTAATTTTACTAACATTAAATATTGCTAAGTTATGAAATAAAACAGTTGAACTTCCCCAGGTGCATGGTATTCCAGAAATGTTGTTAGATCATTTCTTCTAAAGTATAGACATCTATATACCACACTCTGAACCTTTGCAGTTTTGACTTTTGTATCAGGGTTACATGCTATCATACCTTCCTCTCTAGTTATAATCTCATTGCTCTTTAAGGCAACATAACTGTTGCTCCAACAGCCTTGATTCTCCACACGTTCTTCACATGCTTCATTGTTCATAAACTTACTGTATTACTTCACGCCACTCTTGAAAAGTTATTTTCAATGAATTTGTAAAGAATATTCTATTGTCAGAATAGGTAAATATTCTTCAGAATAACAAATACATTATTGGTCAGGTGTGGTGGCTCATACCTGTCATCCCAACACTTTAGGAAGCTGGAGTGGGAGGATTGCTTGAGTCCAGGAGTGTGAGACTTGCCTGGCCAACATAGAAAGACCCTATCTCTATAAAAAGTAAAAAAATAAAGTAGTCAGGTATGGCAGAACACACCTGTAGTCCTAGCTACTTAGGAGGCTGAGGCAAGAGGATTGCTTGAGCCCAGGAGGTCAAGGCTGAAGTGAACCATAATTGCAACACTGCACTCCAGCCTGGGCAACAGAGCAAGACTCTGTCTCTAAAAAAAGAAAAAATACATTATTATTAAGTATTTAACACTCTATATGACCTATATTAAAAAAATCATTTTAGTACACTCTCAAATGAAGAATTTTAGAAAAATAAACTATTTCTACCACTGACACGATTCCAGCATAAAAAGGAATCATAGTTTTTGTTTGCACTATTAAATCAAAAGAATACCGAATCGTGTATTATTATTAGCCTATGAGGTTTGAGTTTATAAGAGGTCATAAGCACATTGGTTTGATTTTCTTTACATGAGGTTGACACTGTTTTGCCTATTTTCAGGTCGTAATAATAATAATAATAGCCTATAATAATTGAGCACTTAAGGCCTGCCATATCTCTATTATTCCATATAATCCTTATATCAACCTCATTTAGTAGGATCCATTACTGCTCCAATTTTGCAAATGAGGAAGCCAAATTCTGGTGAGGTGACCAAATAAGGATGGTAGGAAAACTGGTCTGGCTGGCTAGTCCCTAAGCTCTTAATTACTGCACTGATTATGTATCAGCACCACCCTTGTCTCCTACATTTCATATTCTCTAACATCTCATACAAGTTTATAGTTAACCGAGTGTATTTCCAGAAGAAAATCATTCCAAGTTCACTAAAATGCTAATACCTAGATACTTCTCAATTCCAAAATTTCCCCCTTTAAAAAAACTGCTGTATCTCAAGTACTACAGACCTCATCTGGACAAATAGATTAAATAAGTGAGATTCTTCACTACCCATATCAATTTAGCTAATTAGATAAACAACAAAAGATCTCAGAGGGCTGCTTATTCAGAGAACTAAGCAAAAATTCAAACAAAACAATGTGTCCCTGCCTGAGTCATTGGGAGAACAGTTCTGATTAGATTCTAGACAAATTAATCAGCTACATTATTGATATCTTTACCCTGCCTGGGGTATGCTCAGCTTTCATGCAAAAACATGAATACAGAAAGAGGTGGACTCTGTGTATTTGTCGGGTGGGGCAGGTTGTTCCTATTCCATCTCTTAAAAGTAGACATGAACATAGATAATTTTCTCTATTCCTAGTACATAGTAGTAGCTTAATGAATGTTTATTCAATTGATAAGCAAAAAAATCTCATTACCCATTTCTTAAAATATGATAATTCCTCAAAATTATAAAAAATCCAAAGCAGTACTGCTCACTAGTAATGTGCTCATATCATGCCTAATTTAAAATAATTTGTTTTGTATCCTCCAGTCCTTTTGCAGAATCATTTTTTTTTTTCATGAAAGAGAAAATAGTGTTTGGGTAGATTTGGGAGAAGCGATGAAATTCATCAAGTAATATAATTGTCTAGCAATCATTAAGTGTTTAGTATGTGCCAGGAATTGCTCTAAATGTGTGGCATGTTTTACCTTATTTAAGCTAGGTACAGTTTGCTGCACAGAATACAAATAATAAAGGCTGGAGACATGGAAAAGAAAGACTAGAGTCAGCAAAGAATAACAGTGAAAAAGTAAATAAGGACCGAAAGAGAATCACAGATGGATGCTGGGTGGAGCACAGTCACAGGCAACTGTGAATGTGAAAGGGGAATGAAAAGAAGTTACACTGAGAGAGAGCTGCACTGAGCACCTACTGGATTCGCTGTTGTACACATGTTGCCCCATTTTATCCCCAAGCTATCCTTATGAGGAAGGTTTAATACTCCTGATTTTATCAAAGAAAAACAGCTTGCCGAAGCTTATGTCCCTTTAACCAAGATTACACAGCTAGTAAGTGGTAGAGTCAGAATTTAGATCTGGAGTTTTGTCTGATGCCGAAACCCACGTTAGATTTGATTTACAAGGTTTGTAACTGGGCTACACCCTAGTGCAATGCATAGTTCCATGACTTGGTAACTTCCTAGTCTCACTTATTATGATGGGGGAAGAAATATTAATTTAATCACGTTATAATCTACGCATATTCACACACTTAGAGATTAGCACACAAATTTCAAATAACAGAGATAAGAAACTATCAGTTGTAGCATTTTCCAGAAATGTAGTTTGCACTTCTTTTTAAATTAAGCCTAGTTATTGAATGATCTATGAGGAAAACAGGAGTCTAGGAGTAAGTATGTATATGATACCCACTTCTTCATTCAATAGAAAGGAAGATATCTAGAAACAAAGTTCTGAGATCTCCATAAATATTTGTGCTCTGTAAAAATTTCAATTGTCTATGAAATGGTTCATAATTGACTACTCAACTACTCAACTAATTGTGATAGTCACTGTTGATATTTTTACCAGCACAATGAAGTTTACTGCAGTATTTGAAACCATAGCCTGTAAACATTACTATTACACAGCCTTTTGCTCACACAATGGAGAATCAAGATAAATGCTATGGATTGTCTCAAATTTACTCTTTTTATTTTCTACAGTAACAGGCTGGTCAGGTAGAGACACCTCTAAGCATCCATACAACTAACTTAGGACCTTCCAGACAGCCACAATCTCAATTAGCAGATGCCAAATGAGATTAATCCACAATAAAAAACCTTTTGCACAAAGGAATATCCTGGCAGCTTTCTGGTCTCACGGAATTTCAGTGTGAGCAGGAACAGAAAACCAAACACTGCATGTTCTCACTCATAAGTGTGAGTTGAACAATGAGAACACATGGACACAGGGAGGGGAATATCACACACTGGGGCCTGTAGGGGGGTGGGAGCAAAGGGAGGGAGAGCATTAGGACAACTATCCAATGCATGTGGGGCTTAAAACCTAGATGACGGGTTGATAGGTGTAGCAAGCCACCGTGGCACATGTATACCTAGGTAATAAACCTGCATGTTCTGTACATGTATCCCAGAATTTAAAGTAAAATTAAATTTAATTTTAAAAAATAATAATTTCAGTGTGAGGTTGACAAGTTGGCTGAAAGTGCAAGTTATTTATCAAAAAAAAAAATAGGTAAATTTTTGATGGAGAGATGGATGGCAGATAGACAGACCTTCCTGCAAGTCTACCAGGATTTCAAATTAATGGCAATTGGAAAAGATATTCTTTTGTGCCACAGGAAAAAATCATGTTAGCTCTGAATTTATTTCATTTTGGTAGGTGGGCTCGCACATTTTTTTCTTCTTATTTCATCTCATACACTCTTCCTTGTGAACCAGAGCAGAGTCAAGGAATATCACGTTTAAGAGAAGACAATCATTCACACACCTTTTCCCTGTTAATCCTGTCCCAGTCTGACTGCCAAAGAACTTTTCCCTTTAAAATAAATATATTGCCATCAAATGAATTTCAGAAAAGTTTTTGTGCTTTGTTTTGTTTTAATCCCATTCCCTATGGCTTGACTTTTGCTTGTCTTCCTGTCCACCTTCTACCCTTACCTTCGCATTTCTTCTAATCAGCAAACTGTACTACTTAGGAATGTCAGCCTGCAAGTCAGTTAGGGTAAATCTGGCCACCTACCTCCCTGTAAAGATTTCCTTGGTGACCATCAGCTCACATCATTCAGTCCCAACCAGGCAGAAATAACCACAGAATTCCAAACTTGTCCTTCCTTTGAGGGGATGACCATTTCTCTCTCCATTCCTTTCTGTTGGCTCTTTGGGATCAGATGTCTGGCTTCTTCATCCCTGTATTATCTTGTTCCTTTGGCAAAGAAATTTTTTCAGTTACTAAACCATTGATACTGAAGGAGACACTGTGAGTGTTATCTTTAGATCTTCTAAAAACTGTATTTCCTATAAATGAGATCCCTGAATTCTACCTGAATTCTACAGATATTTACTATGCATTTGTTTCATGCAAGGCACTCTCATAAGCATATTAAAAGGTATAATACATTGTACCCTCCCATAAAGTAAATTGTGCATAGGTAATAATACTGTAACACACGACAAGTAGAATGTGACAGGTATTAAAGTTTTAGGTATAATGGAGCACAGAACAAAAGGAAAAATTAATTATGAATGGGGAATTACTGTCACAGGGAGGAGGACAACAGTTAACATAGTTCTCAATAAGATTAGGTTGAGAAGTGAGGGGTCAGAAAGGAAGAGAATGGGCAAAGCATGGAAGATGGAATTTTCAAAATGCATATTTGAACTAAAGTTTCCTTTAGGCCAGACAGATTGGGTCTCAAGTGCTATGTTCAGAATTGTCATTTTATTTTATAGATCTGTGGTTCCCGAAAGATTGCCAGGGGCCAGTGCCAGTGATGGTTTAAGTCTAAGTTTTCACTGGATTCACAAGACATGAGAAAAACAAGGACACTTGGTAAGATACTTTTTTTTTCATGAAACAAAATTCATCTAAAGCCCTTCTTTATTTTGAGAGTATGTGTTTCCTGTATTTAGAATAAAACGCAGTTGCTTTTATGAAATTGTGGTAAAAGTAGATGGCAGTTTGGGGATGGGGGGTGGTTCTAATGTCATTATTTTGCAAATAAAAATTGGTAACACTGTATTGGGCTCTCTAATTTATTTTTGTTTCACTGATTCATGAGATCCAAACTTTGGGAGCCACTTCTGAAGGTAATGTGGCCTGCCTCCCTTGGAAGTGGAGCAGTGTTGGCAAAACTGTTCTTCAGAAAACATCAGTGACAGCAATACATTAAAAGAAAAAAGAGGGCTGGGCACGGTGGCTCACACCTGTATCCCAGCACTTTGGGAGGCCAAGGTGGGTGGATCACCTGAAGTCAGGAGTTCAAGACCAGCCTGGCCAACATGGTGAAGCCCCGTCTCTACTAAAGATACAAAAAAATTAGCCAGCTGTGGTGGCAGGTGCCTATAATCCCAGCTCCTGGGGAGGCTGAAGCAGGAGAATTGCTTGAACCCAGGAGGCAGAGGTTGCAGTGAGCCAAGATCGCGCCATTGCACTCCAGCCTCGGCAATAAAAGCAAAACAAAAAACAAAAAAAAACAAAAAAAGAGAGAGAGAGAAGAGAAAGGAGAAAATGATGGTAAGGAAGAGGGAAATGCAATAAATGAGACTAGAAATGATTATATACAAGGAAAGTAGTTAGAAATCTACGGCAAAAAACAATTTTCAGGACCTAATCCAGGGCATTGACATAGAGGATTGAAAAGAAGCAATGAATGTAGAGATGGACAATACGGGATTGACAACTGAGTAAAGACACCTATACCACTTGATTTTTGTTCATTAGTTTACATTCTCTGTTGAGAGGAGAAAAGATAGAAATTTATCTTTTCAGAATGTACCCTAATCAGTGAACCTTGATTTTTGCTATCATCGTGTTCTTATTGCTCTGCTCTAATCCTGTTATTTTGAAAAAAAAAAAAAAAAAAATCTCATAGTTTCTCAAGATGCTCTCTATTAGTGCATTTCTTTGTTACCACATACTTCCATTAAGTTCAGCATCACATGAAATGGGGTGATCTGGGAATTAATGAAATAGCAGTTATTGAGCCTAACAGATGTATGACTTTCCATCAAATATAAAGAACGAGAGTGAGATTTGAACTAGAATGACACTTCAGCATTACGAGAAATCGTGTAACATTGACAAAAGAAGGACATTCCGATTTTAAAGCTCTTTGGAGATATTTTCATCCTGGATATTAGAGTTGTGTTTTCATTTAATTTTTGCACGATAATAACAGCTAATATTTATTGAGCATTTACTATATTAAGCACTTGATAAGCACAGGCTTACTTAATCTTCCAAACACACTTATCAGGTAGATAATTTTAGTATAGCTTTTTAAAGCAATATTTGAGAGAAGATAAATTACTTGTCCAAAGTCACAAAGTACAAAGTAACTCAACTGGGATTAGAACTCAGTTGTATCTATTAGGCTTCATTCTTTGGCAAGTGACAGAAAGCTCAGCCAAAACTAAGTTTAAAAAAAAAAGGAAATGTACCAGTTCCTATCATTGAAGCATCCAGGAGCAGGGCTAGGGCTAGCTCCCGAAGGAATTTAACAAGTAACTCCAACAGTGCCATCAACATACAGTGTTCCTCCCTCCATCTTACCCAGCTGTCTCTGTGTTGGCTGTATTCTCACACAGCCTTTCCTGTTGTGATTTCAGACCATCTCCAGATGTTCCAGCCTTATAGCCAGCCTCAACCAAGACCAGCAGAAAAACACAACAGTCTTTCCCAGCAGTCCCAGGAAAGGCCTCACTGCATCCTTTCGTTTTTATGAGGTCATAAGCTTGTCCCTGCAGGAATCATTGCTGTCTGCTCAGTGTTATGCACTAAATGGCAAAGCCTGGTGGCAAGGGTGCAGTACTCTCTCAATGCAGATGGAGGATTATTTTACTGAGGTAATCCAGAATATGATTAACAGATTTAGGCTTCATAGATTCTGGAGGGGGCAGGGGGCATGATCAGTAAATATCTCTGACAATAGAACATTCTTGCTGAATAACCTGAGCTTTTAACCAGCTAAACAATGAAGATCCGTAAAGAACACAGATGAGACTTAAAAAGAGAACATTGCTCTTGCAGCATCCTTCAGAATTATTTAAATTTGCTTTTCAAAGCTACTAATACCTTGACTGGAGAAAATTGTATGTGGGAAGAACTAAATCCATTTCTGTTGTATAAGAACAGAAGTGAACACACCCCTCCAAAGAGACTTCCTTTTTGGGGGGCAGGACATTGTACATCTGGCCTAGATCATTCTGGAAGTGACTAAGAAAAAGACACAGGCCTCAATTTCTCCTTTCTAAGCCATGTGTTTATGCCAAAGTCTGACTCTTGTTCATCTAGAAGATTTTCTTTCATTTCTACCCTAATGTGCCGGATTTAGATTGAGGCAGTGAAGCATTAGTCCCCATTGCTCCATTTATCCTTTTTGAGACTGCTAAAGATTCCACAAAAGAACCAATCTCATTTCTGTAGCAGGTTCCTCCCTATGAGAAAAGAACAAAAGAAAGCAAGCCCTTTCTTTTCATTTTTGATGGTCTCTTTCTATTTCTCTAGGAATATTAACTTGCTGATTCCCTCCTTCATCTCGAAATCTTTTTTTTCCTTTAATTTCAGCTGACTCTCTGACATATTAGGGTAAGAAGAAAACAAAGTACCTGGATGCTTGTTACTTAGTAGATATGTTAATGAAACGTTTATAATGCAGTTAAATCTCAGCTTTTTGTGCTTAAAAAGAAAGAAGAAACACTCTATTGGGGCATCCTCTAGCAGTAAAAATTCTGCTGAGGGTCTATTACTTCCTTTCCTTTAAAACTCCCAGCTTCATAGCCAATATTGCCAGACAAACAAAACAGTCCTTTTCTTTCCTTTTCGCTGCAGTCAATTGTAGAAAAGAATCTGTACTTCAGTGGAGATAATTTTAAACGGGAATTCAAAAGGCTGTGTTCTTTTATAATTTCAACACCTCATTTAACACTTTGCTTAAACTCAAATATTCCTGAGGAATAGTGAAAATATACATTTGTGATTTGGGAGAAAAAGAAAGTTGCTATTGAAATTTACACACAAAACAAATGGTGAACTGGGTCCAAAATGAGAATAGGATGATGGTTTTATTTTTATCCAGAAGGCTGTCAGATGTAATTGAAACAATCTTATAAACATTCCTTTTGTTAATGCCTTTTATTCTCAGTCTTCACTTTTCTCAATTGGTTTCTCATATTTAAAAAGTGAACTACAATTTCTCAAAGGAAAAGAAAAAGAAAATAGTGATAATGTGTATTCCTATCTTTCTCTTTCATTGTTTTACTCTCTGATAAAAGTGGGCAAATGGGAAGCCTGAGTCTCCAGACTGGCTTCATCCAGCTCACATCCCAAACTGTACCCCAGGAGGGATGACCAGCACTTCCCTAGGACATATCCTTGGACTTTCCCTTTTCTGTTGCCTTCTATGATCATTGATGCATATACCACAACTCCTATCCATCTTGAATGAATAGGTCGGACACCAGAACAAACAAGATGTTCAGTCAGTCCAAGGCTAGATTAACTCATTAGCAGAGTAAGCAGGCTTTAAGGGCACCAGCAAAACTGGGCACCAGAAACAGACACAAACAGAAACAGAGACAGAGAAAGCAAACATTTCTACCTTGATGAATTTACTCATGATTTCAATGTCTGCAATCAGAATGTCTTTAAGAAGCTATTTTAATTTTAGCATGCAGATAGTTTTCTATGACATTTGGTAAAACTAGCTCTTACCTTAGATCAGAGAGGATATACTAATCTGTTCAGAATTTAGGTCCTCTAAGTCAGGCCCTTCAGTTACTCCCCAAAGCCAATTGACAGCTATGGCCCTGACAATATACGGGAAGCTGCAGTCTTACTTATATCCTAGAGACATCTTCTGGGGAAGAAGCATAACTGAATCAAAGTCATAATTGGAACTACAGAGTTCTCTGAAAGCAGCTTTTCTAAATCCATAGGTCCAACTCCCAGGGACCTTTATTGCACTGCAAAAAGATTTGGGATCCATTTCCTTGTTTCAAAAATAACACCTACCACAAGATTTCTTAAAGTGGACCATGGATCACTGGTTTCAGAATCACCAAGAGGGCTTATTTTTAGGGGCCTAACCCTCAAATGACTTGACCTAACTCTATAGTTTGTAGTTGGACATTTATAAACTGCCAGTACTTCACTGAGTTTTGGGAGTGACCGTGTAGCCAGGTATACGTGTTCCACACAATAATTTACTAGGTAAGAAAAATATTAAAGGCATGAGTATGAGTTCAAAGATGTTTGTAACCCAACTGTTTAATCTTGACAGAGGCATCCCTCATTTGGATGAAACTTAAAGCCAAGGTCCTTACAATTTATCCTAAAAAGTTATTTACATTTATTAACAACTTTCCTTCCACTTCTATATATATTTCTCATTGTTTAGTTTCTATAAGCCTAATGAATAAATTTTACATAACATTGATAGTATTATTTTATTAAAATATATTGGTCATGATTTGGTTGGCATTTTTAAAATTGTTAATAGGAAAACATAGAAGACTGAATGATAAATATATTAAAATGAAATCATTTCTCCTGTATAAGAACTAAATTATAATAGTGATTATTCATACTAATAAACTATAGAGTACAGGGATGGAAATAGAAATACAATTTTTGAATATCTCTCTTTACATTCACCACAAAATTTTAAAAAGCAGTTACTCTCTCCCCCCACAGAGATATTTTCTGTTTCCTTCAGAATCCAACTAGCAAGGAATATCAACATATTTCAAAGAGCTTTATTTCAGATGTAGTTCAAAGGCAGGGCAAGGTTAACAGCAGAATTCTTCATGGGAGCTAACCTTATATGATATCATCTAATAAAAGATGCCAATGTATTTGTGAAGAAAAAATGCAACTGGAAACATTTTCAATGACATTGCACAAAAAGATCAAAAAGTTATCATGACATAAACAATTTGTGTTGATTAGATTTCACTGTGGAGATGTTGAGATGTTGAGAATAAATAGTATTTGGCTATAGTGACTCTGTCATCATGTGGATTTTAAATATCTAAATATCTGCCATATATAACATGCCTTCTTTTGCCTCTTTGAACAATTCTTTGTGTCACTGATGATTGCTGCTTTATTTTCTTGTTATCAAATTCACTTCTTCCTATTAAATAGAAAGTTCCCAGGTGAATGAATAGATCTTTAAATGTTTTTTAAAACCACAGTCTAACAAATGCACCATAAGGATAAACTTGCTCAGATGAAAATATTGGTGAGTTATCTCGAACTTGCCAAAATGGGACTTGTAAATTTCTTTCTACTATAAAAATAAATGATGCACTTGATGTTGATAATCCAAGAACTGTTTTTTATATTTTTAATATTTTTTAAACTTTAAATTGTGATAAAAAAGCATAACATAAAATGTACTGTCTTAATCATTTCTAAGTGTACAGTTCAGTAGTGTTAAGCACATTCATACTGTTGCACAGCTCATCTCCAGAACTTTTTCACCTTGCAATACTGAAACTCTGTATCCATTAAATGCTAACTTCTCATTCCTCCCTTCCCCTCAGCCCTTAACAACCACAATTCTTTTTTTTTAACTGATATATTGTATTTGTACATATTTTGGGGTTACATGTGATATTTTGATATACATATACAATGTATAATGAGCAAATCAGGATAATTGGGATATTTATCACTTCAAATATTTATTTTTTGTGAGTTGGGAACATTACAATTCTTCTAGCTATTTTGAAATATACAATAAATTATTGTTAACTTTATAAGTTTCCTACTACAATATTGAATACTAGAACTTATTCCTACTATGAACTGTACTTTTGGATATGTTTAACGGCTTCTCCTCATCACCCCGCCCGCCCCCCCACCTCCCACCCCCCCACACACCCCACATTCCCTCTTCCTTTCTGAGCCTCTGGTAAAAAATAAAATAAAAAATAAAATAAAATAAGCTTGCCAGCATGATTGTGGCAGGGAGTTTCAGTTTTAGGTGTAGAAACCATGACGGCACTACCATCTAGCTGCTTTCACTCATTTAACTCTCCTCTGTTGGTGCATACTCTGTGACAGATACTGCCTGGAGAACAAAATGGGCCTTGCCTTCAAGAATCTTATGTTCTGGCCGGGCGCAGTGGCTCACGCCTGTAATCCCAGCACTGGGAGACTGAGGCAGGCGGATCACAAGGTCAGGAGATCGAGACCATCCTGGCTAACACGGTGAAACCACGTCTCTACTAAAAATACAGAAAATTAGCAGGGCATGGTGGTGAGTGCCTGTAATCCCAGCTACTCAGGAGGCTGAGGCAGGAGAATGGCGTGAACCTGAGAGGCGGACCTTGCAGTGAGCCGAGATTGTGCCCACTGCACTCCAGCCTGGGCGACAGAGTGAGACTCTGTCTCAAAAAAAAAAAAAAAAAAAAAAGAATCTTATGTTCCGTTGGAGTAGATTAATGAGCAAAAAACAAATAGTATATATAAGAGAAAGAAAATAATTGCAAGTTATAAAAGTTATTTCTATGGAATAAACAAGCAAAAAGCTACAATAGAAAATAAAGCCATGAGAGGCCAGGGAGACCCTACTTTCATAGCGAGATTAGGCAAGGCCTCCCAGAGCTTGTGATGTTTAACTGAGGCCTAAAAGATGATAAGAAGACAGTCATGTAAAAAGAAAGGAAGAGATTTCAGATTGCAGGCACAGGATGTACAAAGAGCCTGCAGCAGGAAAGAGCATGGAATCACTGGTGACGTATCCAACATCTAATGTTCCTGAAGCATAAGAAACAAGAGAGAGACACAAGAGGAAATAGGAGTCTGACCATCCAGGGTCTGGAAAGCCATGGTAAGAAACTTGGAACATATTCTAATGGCAAGGAAAGCTAATGAAGAGTTTTAAGTAACAGAGGCTGCTTGCACCTTTTTAAATCTTCAGGTAACAACCACTTCATCAAAGGCTCTTCTGCCTCTCTATCAAAATACAGAGGACAAAGCTTATTTTCACTGCCATGTGCCCCTCCCCAGTTTGTAATCTCTGTTCCCTGACGATGAACCTAATCCCACCTACCTGTCTGGAGCTCTAACAGGTGCCCAAGAAAATACTACATTCTCTACCATTCTTTCCACAGCTGCTCATTCCTTTTTTTTTTTTTTTTCTTCTTTGAGGTGGAGTCTTACTCTTGTCCCCCAGGCTGGAGTGCAGTGGCATGATCTTGGCTTACGGCAAACTCCACCTCCTGGGTTCAAAGGATCTCCTGCCTCAGCCTCCTGAGTAGCTGGGACTACAGGCACGCACCACCACGCCCGGCTAATTTTGGCATTTTTAGTAGAGGCGGGGGTTTCGCCATGTTGGCCAGGCTGTCTTGAACTGCTGACTTCAGGTGATCCACCCACCTCGGCCTCCCAAACTTCTGGGATTAAGGCGTGAGCCACTGAGCCTGGCCTCCACAGCTCATTCTTAATAGTGTATTGTCTGTGCTTTTTATTTCTTCTGGGTTATAGCTACCTCTTTATTTCTGCCATTTTTTACATAATATCACAATGCATACATTTTGCTTGCTTGGCTTTTATCTGTTTACTCTTCATTTCCACTACAAAACTATAAGCTCCGCAAGGGCAGGAACCACATCTGACTAGATCACCATCATATCCCCAGTCATCTGCACATGTCTGGCAGTGTTGAGTAAATGAAATAATTTTTGAATCTTTGCTTCCACTATAAGAATGTTAACATCAATTTGGATTATGTTGAAAACTATGGCAACTGCCACAGTTCAGCTTTGATATAAGGACAAATGTTTCATTTGCTATTTATTGTGCTACCAAATTCATATCGAAATATAGAAACTGCGTGTGTAGCTTCAACAGTAACCCAGTCTTTCTTTTCCCGGATCTAAGTTTCTTGGCCCTTTGTTTTCCCTGGCATGGGTAGAAGAAACTCTACTAACCAATAATCACAAAGTCTTCAAGAACGTGCTAATACGACCATGGTTGCTATTTCAAAACCAACTATGGGAAGGGAATGTGAGTAGAGGAATTAGAAAAGACAAACTTTTTAAATATTCTTATTAAAACATGAATGAACCTTAAGGACATTATGTTAAGTGAAATAAGCCAGGCACAGAAAGACAAATACCACATGATCTTGCTGTGGAATCTAAATAAGTTGATCTCATAAAAATAGGGAGTAACATTGATATATGGGAGCTAAAAGTTGATCTTACAGAGGTAAAGACTAGAATGACACTTACCAGAAGCTGGGAAGGTGAGGGTTGGAGAGAGGTGAAGAGAGGCTGGTTATGATGAGGACAAACACAGTTAAATAGAAGGCAGAAGTTCTAGTGTTTAATGGCATAGTGGAGTGACTACAGTTAACACTAAGTTATTGCATATTTCAAAAAAGCTAGAAGATTTGAAATGTTCCCAACACAAAGAAATGAAAAATGCTTGAGATGATGGTTATCCTAATTACCCTGATTTAATCATTTCATATTGTATGCATGTATCAAATATCACATGCACTCCATAAATATGTACAATGATTATTTATCAACAAAAAAGGAAAGAAAGAAAAAAGCAATAGAGAGTAAAATGATGGTTACCAGGAGCTTTGAGTAGGGAGGAGGGAACATGGAAAACAGATGGTGGGAGTGATACAAAATACAAACAAATTAAAATTCCCATTCTATTCTAATAAAGCCACCATCCTCTTCGAGATCAATATGTTCTTAGCTTCCTCAGAACTAAAACAACTGAGAAGGCTGAATAAGATGGCACTGTTCTTCATCGCATCTAACTGTTCAGGCTTTTAGGAGAGAATAAGAAAAACAGATGTAGTTAGTGCCCAACAAGCATTTCACAATTTTCAGCCAATCGTTAATTATCCTTGATCTTTGCCTAAGAGAGTAATGAAAATTTTACAGATTTCGCTATTTCAACAAACTAATTTATATTGTAATTAATTTTGTAATGAACAGGTAAAATGTGCATGCATTTTTTACATGTAAACTAGAGAAAATACTGCCCATGAACTGGATATGCATACCGTCTGGTTATATACTGTCTTGTATACAATCAATATTCAACAAATACAATGTAATAAATAAGGAAATGGTCTAACAACTCACAAAAGGAAACCAATTATAATTATTTTCAGGTAAGCCAGAATGTTTTAGAAGTATATATTGTTAATATGATCCACAAATCAATGGGGCTTGTTCTACTCATGTAGCATCACAAGTATGTTAATTCTCAAAAATACTTTTGGAGATTTTTGTTGTTATTAATTTTCATAACAGTTATACACCCTGCTAACCAAAAGTCTGAAAATGATTTGTGCACACAAATAAACTATGTTTATCTACAATGTAATGAAGCAGGATGTTCTATGGAACATGACCTAAAAGAGACCCATTCCATAGTTAGATCTGTTCAGATGGTATGATGAGCAAAGACTTACGAAAATGACTTCACATTTCACATCAGCTTCCTAGGGAATATCACTAATTTAAGTAAATTTGTCTTTGCAGCTTGTTTTCCTCTTCTTCCTTGGAATCTCCCTCATGAAAATTTTTCAAATAATGTTGACTTCAAAAATTGTCATTTTGTGAATTAAAATTTGGAAAGAAAAACAAGTCAGGGTGTTCAGATGATAACAAGTTCTTATTCAGGTTCAACACCAAATAGATGACTGATGGTAATTAGCTGCAGTTCAAGAATTCTCAGATATAAAAATGCTTTAAAGGATTAGTTGAGGGTTAGCATGATAGGACTTCTTAAAATTACATGAAGCATAGGACCTTCAGGAAAGTTTTTCTTTTTAATTTAATAGGCAAAAACCTGGAAGTGAAATGTTCATATGCCCTTCACAAGCCTATTTGAAATAGTTTAGCTAGTCGGTAATAATTTGATTTAGACAATATAAACTGCTAATAAGGTACAGAAAGCATCTCCTAGGATGTTGTTTTACGTAATAAAGTAACATTTGAAAAGCCAAGTCAAAGCTCAAAGGAAAAAGAGAAGAGTAAACTTCAGAATCTCAGTATCTTTTTTCCTAAAATAATTGAGCATAAAATAATAAACCATAAACAATGTAGTGATTAGAGGTACTTTTTTAGGATGTTTATCTTGAAATACTCTCAAACTTACAGAAAAGTTGCAAATAATTACAAAAGAAACCACCTTTGTTCAGGATGATTTGACAGTAAATCACTGATCAGATGCCCATCTACCCTCGAATACTCGAGTGGACGGTTACCATAAACCAGGACATTCTCCTGCTAGATAATGACAACACGACCATCAAAATCAGAAAATTAACACTAATATATTTCTGACATCTCATCTTCACATCCTATTCATGTTTTGCCAATTGTCTTAATAACTGCTTTTACATTTTTTTAAAAATCACACATTACACTTAGTTATATTGACTTTTTAATGTCCTTCACTACCATTGTTCCACAGTCTTATCTTGACTTTCATAATGCTTACATTTTGGAAGATTATAGTCCTGTTATTTTATAAAAGTTTCCTCAAATGGGATTTTTTTTAAAGTTTTCTCCTAACAATTAACTTCCGATTATACACCTTTGGCAGGAATATCACAGAAATAATGCTCTCTTTTCCCCTTTGTAATTAGTAAATAATTTTGTGAGAAAGTTCTTTTAAACTATGAAAATATCCCATTTCTCATCACGTTTTCAATTTATTCATTAATTGTTTATATCAGCATAGACTCATGCTTTCCATTTTTATTCAATGGCTTACAATCCACTATTATCTTTATTTTTATTGATGTTCAATTTATCTTAAATTTGGTCAGCAGTAACAACTTCCAGCTGGAGCCTGCGTCCTTTTGATATGTCCCTGCCAATCGGCAAGCATTTCCTTGCTCTATGGTACGAGATGTTCCAGCATCATCTTGTCGTGTCCCTACCGCTGCCCTGGAATAAGCCTTTCCTTCAGTGGAGAATGGTATTTTGAAATCAAGATCTGGACACTAGATGTGCCAGCGACCACTGGGGAGTCATTGCTCCCAAATTGCCTTAGTTAACAGAGCTAAGTGTGTATGTGTCTGCGTTTGTGTGTGTGTTCACAAACATCTATGTTTATTTCTATATCTATTTATCTATATATTTAAAACCATGTATTTACACCAATACCTCCAATCCCAATCTAACACCATAAGATTTGTTCTCGTTTTCTCCCTTTTTGTATTCGTAACTTCCCTCAGGAATTTGACTCATGTTGTCTTTAATACACATTTATTCACTCAGTCCCCCAATATGTATTAAATTGCTCATCATAACCACCACCTCCTCCCTTGCGTGGGAGCCCTTTCACCCTTTTTGGGCTCCACTGCTCTACCCTGAGAGCATCCCTTAGATGGACATCCTCCTTACTATGGTTAGCCTCAGGCGCTGTGCAGCTGATCCCACGCGCCCACGCCCTCCGCACCAAGCTCCGGGTTGAACACACCACACTCTGTAGATGTCCTGATCACCCTCCTCAGGCTCCCACATCTTGCTCCCATCCAGCATGACTATTCTCCCCACAACCACAACCCCACAGGGGCAGTTGTACTGCACAGACAACTACCTCACCCTGCCCCACCTAATGGCTTTGCTATTGAATTGTTTAATAGGACAAGAACAGAAGAAGAATAGGAAGGGGAAAGGGGAAAAGGAGAGCTACTGTTACTTTTTTGAAATTACTTTCAGCTTCCTTTGTGGGGATGGAAAGCAATTGTACAGTGAGACTATTTGTGGCAGATTGGCAGATTTGATGACAGAAAATCTAAGTTCTACTTACAGAGTAAACAGTCCTTTTACCCTAACTCAGAAAATTGTATTACAATTTTATTACACAATATTATGTGAAGTAATTCATTTTTTAACAAATTACATGTTAAATTGAATATGTCCTAGGAGGATAGATTTAATAATGCAAGGAGGACTCTTTTTATCTAACTACACTAGGATGATTAAGGCAGTATATTCACACACATAAGAGCAGTAGAAGAGTGAAGAAACTATTTGGAGAACTTAAGACAAAAAAAAGCACTTCAAATTTGCCAGATATTGACAAAATAAAAGATTATTTTGTCTGGAGTAGCCAGATAATTGCTTTAATTCTTTTAGTATAAAGTATTCTTTACCACGAGAATGTCTTCCCTGCTCTATTAAAGGCAATTATCCCTTAATACAGGCTCTGACAATTTGTAGTACAAGTATTTTCTACCAAGCCAAAATTATGGGTACTTAAGGATTCTAAAAAACAATTATTAGAGAAAGAGAAAGTTTGTTGCAGATGCATTGCCTTTAAGGGTGGCCCATGCATTTAATTCCAGGACAGAAAACAAAAATAATTTGGGTCGTTTCTTATGAATGGAAATGAAAAGTATGAGAATTATGGAAGTTTGTAGACATGTTCTCATGGTTAATTTTAATATGGCCTATTAGCATCTGATATTTCAGCCAGAACAAATACATCCCCTCCTCCCAAAAAAGCAATATGCAAAAATATTTCACATTATGTAAGTCTTTTTTTCAAAAGAGTATTATTACCCTATCAAGATAATTAAATCTCTAAAAGAATCTTCACGATGATGTGCAGATCTTTTATGGACAGTTCACCTCAATTTTTTCTGTCTACGGAGCATTTATTATTACATTTAGTACAAGTACAATTTGTCTTTATAGACTTTTGTTATTAGAGAAAATGTTGCAAGGAGAGAGAGTAAAAATGAATTTAAGAGACTGAAATAGTGTACATTAGTGTGTTCTATTATGGAAAATTATGGTATAATAGCGAAATATCTTAACTCATCACTTCTAAGTGGCCATTCATTAAAAGATCCTAAAAACAGATGATGTTTTCTCAGTTCTTTTTTTTTCTTGACAAGTAAAGAAATCTTTTCTATTATGGGGAACCTAGTTTTCATCATCACTTTTAAATATTTAACTGAGAATGTAAAAGGGAATTTTTTTCACTAAGCAGAGTCACTTGTTCTGCATGTTCTCCTTTAGTACATACTACAGTCCTGTCAGTTATATTGCCTGCTTGTACCTTTTCCTACCTTTGAGCTAACCTTCAGCTTATTCTTTCAAGATACAATAGAGAAAAGCTTGCACTTCAAAGTTGAACATACCCAAGTATAGAACAGGTTCCAAACACCTCACACCTAGATAAGCCTCTCCCTTCAAGCCTCTCAAATAAATATAGTAAGGCTCAAAGAGAGCTTTTTGCTGTGCTGAATCATGCTTATAAAATTCAGTTTACTACTCATACCACTGAGAATTTTTTCCACATTTTACAGTGTGAAAGTGTTGTATGTACTATATGTGTACCTATCCAATGCATGTATATATGTATTTCATATGTATGATATGTAGTTAGACTATATAATAAAGTGCTCTAGTTCTCATTTGACATTGTCTTCAATTATTTTCATTAATCCTCTGCTCCGTTCATAAACTACATATTGTAAAGTTATTTTAGATTTTTATCTTGGAAAGATGATTAGACTAGGTAGGGCAGACCCTCACCTGGAAATTATGAGAAAAATTCTGGAACCCACAGCGAACAGATCAGATTAGCTGGTTTCCTTAATGAAGTAGCCACCATCCCTTCTCTGTACACACAGAGTTCATTCAAATATCTGTGCCTGTGTTCATTACACATCTTATTCCAGGAAAATTTTACCCACTCATAAAGGTCCCAATCAAAAGTCATGTCGTTTCTGACTGCTTCCTAAACTACCCAGTCTAGTTTCATATTCTCACTCCCCTCCCCTCCCATTGTCCTTTGTACATTTCTCTGTATCATTGGCCATAATGGTTTATTAGATTAGATTTGAGAAGTACCCTGCCTATTAGCAATTACTAGTTCTGAGGGTAAATAATTTTGGGTTCTATATTTGCTTCTAGTAGATAAGTCCTTCTCCTCAAGAAGATGTCTCCCCCATGTTAAGTGGTCTGGATGTTTTGAAAAGACATAATCTATAGAAAATACAGGCCAGGCGCAGTGGCTCACGCCTGTAATCCCAGCCCTTTGGAAGGCTGAGGTGGGTGGATTACTTGAGGTCAGGAGTTCGAGACCAGCCTGGCCAACATGGTAAAACTCCATCTCTACTAAAAATACAGAAATTAGCTAGGCATCATGATGGGTAATCCCAGCTACTCAAAGGCTGAAAAACAAGAATCGCTGGAACCTGAGAGACAAGAGGTTGCAGTGAGACGAGATAGTGCCACTGCTCTCCAGTCTGGGTGACAGAGCAAGACATCTAAAAAAAAAAAAAAAAAAGGAAAAGAAAAGAAAATACAGAATTTACCCTGAAAAAAATTTAATTGAGCAAATATGAAACAAACAGCAAAAAGAGGGCAAAAATAAACCTATGAACATGGACATTTAAAAGTACTCACTTAAGTAGTACTTCAATTAAAAAGGAAATTGTATCAAACACCTCATACATCCTCATATCCTCTGGGCACTCTCCCTAATGCTGCCACAGCTGTGGTAATCAGTTCCACACAAGCTTTGGGTATATTTGTGCATATGCACCTGAGGGGACCATGACATTGGGTCACACCCCACTCTCTCTTCCTGCCCTGGAACTTCTCTGATGCTATGAAATGGCATCCTCATAGGAACCTGTTCTATGCTTAGGTATGTTCAACCATGAAGTATAAGGGACTTAAGACTCATATAAGCACCACTGAGCAATTGAAAACTTGGATCTAATGGATAAGTGTTTAGCCATCTTATCACCAGGTGGACAGTTCTAAGTCATACCTTGAAAGGCTTCTCAAAAGACTGCACAAAATTTAGCACCTGTTGCCCTTATTGATAATATATTATACTCTTGGCATTCTTTCTTCCCTGTTCATCCTCGTCTTCCTCACACTTGATACCTAGGGTCACCATTCTAAATAAATGACCCACAACCATGCTCTTGTATTAGGCACTGCTTTAAAGGAAACTGAGATGAAGATGTAAACCAAAACTGCAATTATCATCACATTAGAAATGAGCACAAATAAGAATGCTGTATATTAAAAGCCCATATTAAAATATGGCCAAAGAACAATTCAGAAGAAAATATGCAACCTTAAGTGCATATGTGACATAATAAGAGAGAATAAAAATAAATGACTAAGCTTTGAATTCAAAAAGCTACAAGAGAAGCAATAAAGTAAACCCAAGGAAAGCAAAAATAAAAATTAAAAAAGGATTAATAAGATAAAATTATAAATAAATACAAAAGAAAACAGAAGGCTGGACACAGTTGCTCACTCATGTAATCCCAGTACTTCTGGTGGCAGAGGCAGGAAGATCTCTTGAGCCCAGGAGTCCAAGACTAGCCTGGGCAACATAAACAGACCTTGTGTATTAGTCTGTTTTCATGCTGCTGATAAGACATACCCAAGACTGGCAATTTACAAAAGAAAGAAATTTAATTGGATTTACAGTTCCACGTGGCTGGGGAAGCCTCACAGTCATGGTGGATGATTGTGATGGCAGCGGGCAAAGAGAGAGGCACACTTGTGAAGGGAAACTCCCCTTTTTATAACTATCAGATCTAGTGAAACTTATTCCCTATCACAAGAACAGCACGGGAAAGACCTGCCTCATGATTGAATTACCTCCCACGAGGTCACTCCCACAACACATGGGAATTCAACATGAGATTTGGTGGGGACACAGCCAACCATATCACCTTGTCTCTACAAAAAAATTAAAAGCTAGCTGGGCATGTTGGCACATGCCTGTAGTTTCAGCTACTCAGGAGGCTAAGGTGGGAGAATCACTTGAGCCCCGGAGGTTGAGGCTGCAGTAAGCCATGATCATGTCACCACACTCCAGCCTGGGCAACAGGGTGAAAACTTGTCTCAATAAATGAATAAATAAAACAAAATAATACACTGTGATCAAGTGGGATTTATCACAGAAATACAAGGATCACTTAACATACACAAATCAGTAAATGTAATACATCATGTCAACAGAATGGACAAAAGCCATAGGATAATCTCAACAACTACAGAAGAAAAACAATTGATAAAATTCAATATCCCTCCATGATAAATACTCTCAACAAATTAGGTATAGAAGGAACATACCTAAACACAATAAAAGACATATATGATGAACCCGTAGCTAACATACTGAGTGGGGAAAAACAGAAAGCATTTCCTCTAAGAAGTGTCACAAGGATGGCCCCTTTCACAACTCGTATTCATCATGGGACTGAAAATCATAACCAGAGCAATTACAAAAGAGAAAGAAATTTAAAAAGAGAAAGCCAAATTGTCCCTCTTCGCAGATGATATAATCTTATATATAGAAACTCTAAAGAACCACCAAAAACTTTTAGAACTCAAAAATAATTTTAGTGAAGTTTCAGGATACTAAATCAGCATACAAAAATCAGTAGCATTTCCATACACCAATAGTGAACTAGCTGAAAAAGAAATCAAGAAAGCAATGCCATTTACAATATCTACAGAAAAAAAAATACCTAGGAATAAATTTAACCAAGTAGGTGAAAGATATTTACCACCCCCCCCCCAAAAAAAAAACCAACTACAAAGTACTGTTGAAAAATTGAAGAGGACACAAAAAATGGAAAGAAATCCCAAGCTCAGGCTAGGCATGGTGGCTCATGCCTGTATGGATCACTTGAGGTTAGGAGTTCAAGACTAGCCTGGCCAACATGTTGAAACCCCATCTCCACTAAAAATACAAAAATTAGCCAGGCATGGTGGTGTGTGCCTGTAATCCCAGCTACTTAGGAGGCTGAGGCAGGAGAATGGCTTGAACCCAGGAGGCGGAGGTTGCAGTAAGCTGAGATTGTGCCACTGCACTCCAGCCTAGGTGACAGAGTGAGACTCTGTCTCAAAAAACAAAAAAAAAAGAAAAAGAAAGAAATCCCATACTCATAGATTGGAAGAATTAATATTGTTAAAATGAGTGTAGTACCTAAAGCAATCTACAGATTTAATGCAATTCCTATCAAAATATCACAGACATTCTTAATAGAAATAGAGAAAAACAATCCTAAAATTCACATGGAACCACAAAAGACCCCAAATAGCCAATGCAATCTTGAGCAAAAAGAACAAAGCTTGAGGCATCACACTGCCTGACTTCAAAACCTACTAAAGCTATAGTAACCAAAACAGCATGGTATTGGTATAAACACAAACACATTGACCAATGAAACAGAATAGAAAATCCAGAAGTAAATCCACATATTTACAGTCAACTCATTATTAACAAAGGCACCAAGAACGTACAATGGGGAAAGGACAGTCTCTTCAATAAATGATGCTGGGAAAACTAGATATCCATAGGCAGAAGAATGAAACTAGAACCCTACCTCTCACTATACACAAGAATCAAATCAAAACAGATTAAAGACTTACATGTAAGACCTGAAACTATGAAACTACTAGAATAAAACATTGGGGAAATGCTTCAGGACATTGGACTAAGCAAAGACTTTTTTGAATAAAACTTCAAAAACCCAGGCAACGAAAATGAAAATAGACAAATAGGAATATGTCAAGCTAAAAAGCTTCTGCACAGCAGAAGGAAACAATTAACAAAGTGAAGAGACAACCCACAGAATAGGATAAAATATTTACAAACTGTCCATCTGAAAAGCAATTAATAACCAGAATATATCAGGAACTCATGCAACTCAATAGCAAAAATAATAATAATAATCCAATTTTAAAATGGCAAAAAATCTGAACAGACATCTCTCAAAAGAAGACACACAAATGGCCAACAGATACATGAAAAAATACTCAACATCATTAATCTTCAGGGAAATGAAAATAAAAATCACAATGAGATATCATCTTACCCCAGTTAAAATGGCTATTATCAAAGAGACAGAAAATAACAGATGCCGATGAGCATTCAGAGAAAAGAGAATCCTCATGAACTATTGATAGGAATATAAAAGACTATAGCCACTATGCAGAAGAATATAGAGGTTCCCTAAATATATGTTAGGAGATTCCTCAAAATAAAACTACCATATGATCCAGCAATCCCACTTCTTGGTATACATTCAAAAGAAAAGAATTAAGTATATCAAAGAGATATCAGCACTCCCATGTTTATTGCAGTGCTATTCACATTAATCAAAATATGAAATCAACCTAAGTGTTCATAAATGGATGAATGGATAAAGAAAATGTGGTATATATACACAATGGAATATTATTTAGCCATAAAAATGAAATTCTGTCATTCATGGCAACAAAGAGCCTGGAGAATACTATGTTAAGTGAAATAAGCTAGGCACAAAAAGACAAATACCACATGAACTCCCTAATATGTGGAAACTAAAGGGAACTGGGAGGAAGAGAGAGACAGAGACAGAGAAAGAGAGAGAGAGGGACACACACACACACACATATGCTAATGGATATAAAATTACAACTTTGGGAGGAATAGGTTCTAGTGTTCTGTAGCACTGTAAGGTGAATATAGTATATTTTCAAAAAGCTAGAAGAGAGGATTTTGAATGTTCACAACACAAAGAAATGATAAATGTCTGAGGTGATAGATATGCTAATTACCCTAATTTACTTATTACACATTGTATACATGTATCAAAATACTACTTTGTATCCCATAAATATGTATAATTATTACATGTCAATTAAAAATAAAAGAAAAAAATTGGACAAAAGCCAAATACTGCAAAAATCCCAAATGATCATCAACAGATGAATGAATACATAAAGTATGGCATATCCATACTCATCATAATTAATTAACTGCTAATACATATAAAAGTATGGATAAATCTCAAAATCATTATGTTGAATGAAAGAAGCCAGACTCTTTCATTCAAGTATTGTTCCATTTATATTTGTAAAAATTTGTATAACATTATAGAAAATGCAAACCAATCTATAGTGACAGACAGCAGATCCGTGATTGTCTTGGGCCAGGGACAGAAGAAAGAGGGACTACAGAGGGACACGGGACAATTTTACAGGTGATGGAATTGTTCTCCGTATTGTTATGGTTGCGGATTCACAAAAATATATCCCTCTAAAGACTCATCGAATATGGGCAATTTACTGCACTTAAATTACATCGATTAAAATTTATCTTTAAAAATAAATGAACAAGCCAGGATAAAACCAGAATAAATAGTACTTACCTCATGGAGTTCTTTGAGTAATATATGAGATTATACGTTTAATGTACTTATGATAGTGACTCACATATTATAAATATTTAATATTTGCTGTTTTTATCATTATTATTGATATGACTAAGATTATTAATAAGTCATTTGTATGTGATGAAAAGTTGATTAGGTTTCATCTTTCCTTCATGATGATCTGTATATTAATTGGGCCTCCATACAATATTCTACTTAGTTTCAAAAATGAATTATTGAGTTAAAAATGACTTCAGATAGTTGGTTCTTTGGCTTAAGTCTGCATTCACAGAACCCATATCCTGGTGAACATGGTGGCCTGGGTCAATTGCAGAAAATCTAAAGAACAGAAGCTCCTTTCCCTCACTTCCTTTTTTTTTTATTTTTAATTACACAAAGAAGTCACTTACAGATGCTAGCCCCTTTGCCTTCAAAGAAAATGCATGCAGACCTTTCTCTGGTGTTTTAGATTCTTGTTGCTTGCTAAAAAAAGAAGGCAAAATAGTGCTGAGAATTTCCCCTGCCAGATGTTAATCAAGAACAGAAGTAAAAAGTGCTCCATATTTTACAACATGCCATCTCCAAGTCTTCTTACAGTCAGCTAATAGACCAAGAACACAGATACAGCATGTCAAAGTGGTCTCAATATATTCTTTTTAAACTCTAAAGCGTTAGTAAGTAGATATGATAGGGGTGCCACCAGAAGCATATCTGGCTCTGGATTTTAAAATTTGAACATTATAGCCGGGACCCAAAATATTAAAGATTAAAAAAATTAGGAAGTGGTTAATCAACCTCATTAAGGACCATGCATTTCATAGATGTTTGTTCAAGATAGAAGGGCTATTTTTTCCTTATTCTAATTGTTACATGGGTTTTAAGTCTGTTTACCTGCTTATATCCTTGAATTAATTCAAGTTGTACAGGCTTTAGGAGTATAGCTCCTTGAGTGTTCTTGGAAAAAAAGAACGATCTTATATAAAGACCCAAAAGGAACAGTACCCAGTGTCTGTCCACTTTAGACAGATCTAGAAAGCCACTAGAATACTAAAGACAGCTTCTGGGCAGTTTTCCTAGCCCAGTTTGTGTAGCATCAAAATAAAATATAAGATCACAGATGCTTTGGACATGGAAAAAAGTCTTGAACATAGGACTTTGGGAACAACATTAAAGAGCTGAGTGCAAAAGTGCAATATGCATGAGTAAGCAAATGCTTAGAGTATATATGTGTGCAGGCAAACATTTGTTACAAAGACACCTTGCCTAACTCCTGCAAGGTTGGGGAAGGAAGACTAGAGAGGGGAAAGGAAGAACATCTAGAATTTGGAGAAAACAGAAATTTTTGGACTGTTCTTCAGTTTTTGCTGATTTTTCTCTTGCTCGAGGCATTTTTTTCAGAGTAAGATATTCCTCAGGGATGTCCATTTTATCTAATAGCATACAAGTGGGTCCTATGCCTTCCTTTAGTGTATGATTAATCTGTTTGCCATTTGAAAACTTTTGTTCTGGGATCCATCCAAGGTATTTTACATAATTATCTGGTATTTCATCTGATACACAAAGACCCATAAAAGCAAGATATATTGCAGTCCTGGGTTAGCATTACCAGAGTCATGAGTGATGTCTGTGCTGAAAGTCAGGAAGGCATTCCTGAATGTGACCATCATTAGGCCATGACTCTCCTGAAAGTGAGACCTAGGAAACTTTCCTGATTGAGTTATTCAAAACCAGACCAGAACTTACACTTGGCACAGTCAGAAGAAAGGCTGGACAACCAACCAAATGAGTCTTTTCTTCTCCAATTCCTACATTCCTTTTGGAAATTTGTTCTTCACATTAATAAACTCAAGAGTACAAGTAATTTTAGAAAAACCTGTATGATTTACAACCCAGGGGCCTGACTTTCTTGTTGATAACACGTAATTCAATAATGCTTCTCTGGAAGTTCCTTATATGTATAGGAACAAAAGCTTGTGATCAAAATTGGAACATATGGACTGAAATTATTTCTAAATATGAGACCAACTACTTGAAATCTAGGCTTTGTGGTCACCATGGATAGCTGCTAACTCTGGCTATCCAGAACAACCGCAAAGAAAAACAGCAAAATCAATATGAATGTTAACAAGTCCATGTACAAATACTCCAGTACTTCACTCACAGGATACACCTTGGGCTTTTTCCATGATCACTTCTATTATTTTAGACATAATTCTAATAGTCTAGTTAATTAATCTTGGGCCCTGAGTAATCAGAAGAAACAATAATATGAATAAGAAGACCGATTCTTAGAGGCAGGCATACATACATCAGAGAGAAGTGACCCATCACAGAAGTGATATGGGAAGGATATTAAAAACATCCCAAAATCCAATAGTTTGTGATCTCTTTATTGTATTTAAAAGATGTCTAAAATAGGTAGGGACAAAGAAATCTACATGACCCAAGAATCCCAAAGAGTCTCCTGGAATACAGTAAACATTGAGATTAAGTGCAGCCATAGCCTGAACTTCAATCCTGTTCAGTGCCACCTGGTTTCAGTTCTCAGTGTTCTCAACTATAAAGGGGGGATAATACTATTATCTAACTCATAAAATTACTCTGACAGTTATAAGACATTATAACTATGAATTCGTATATGACTTAATGTGTACCTGGCACATTGTATTGTAAGTACTACGTAAAGTATTAGCTATGATAATTATGCATGTACATATAAACCGAATAGTCTGGATCACAATAATAATTACACCATAACCTTGTATAGTGCTTCAGAGGATCCCTGGAAGATAGGCAGGACAGATATCAGTTTGAAAAAGACTGTCTTAGCACATTCTCATTTTTTGACCTACATTCTGATCACTTGCTTACTTCCTGGAGAAATCACTTTTAGCCTCTAAATCTCAGCTAAAACAGCTTCTTTTCGAATCCTCCTGTGGCCAAGAATGGCGTGGGCCCGGGAGGCAGAGCTTTCGGTGAGCCAAGTGAGCCACTGCATTCCAGCCTGGGCAACAGAGCGAGACTCCATCTCAACCAAAAAAAAAAAAACAGAAGCCTCCTGTGGCCAATAACCAGATGAAATAAGCTACTTCTCCCCTAAGGTCTCCCACTGTGTTCCTATAACTCTCCTACCATGGCACTCTGCTCTGTGATGGTGTTCTTGACTACCTCTTCCACCAAACTGTAATTTTTCTAATGGCAAGGACTACCTCATTCAGTATTAAGCAACCAATCCCTGGCACATAGTATGTGTACATTAAATGTGTTATTTAGCATAGAATGGAATGAATCTATTAGTCTGAAAGCAGGCCAATTCACTAAAAAATCAATTTGCAGAATGACAAATTCATCAAATGTACTAATTTATAAAATATATTTTAAGAAACATTTTAAATATGTGTTCAATGGCTATGAGCATATTATTCTTAGTATTATATTCCAATTACTTGTTATTGAATTGGTAATTTAGTGAATTGGCTTGTGGAAAACTTCAGTAAATTGCTTTTAGGAAAATTGCTTTAGAGCCCATGACTTTTCCTATTTAGTAAATAGTTAGAATAATTTTTTTCTTCTAAAAAAATTGCATGTGGAAAATATGTGAAATTGGTGCAGAGTACTTTGAAAGTCTCTATACATTCCTAAGAAAATGTTATGACCTATTTTTATTTATGTGCTAGTATGAACAAAACTGATTTTACCTGAATTGGCTATGTGCTACTCAAAAAAAAACATTTTTGCTTGTCTCAGCTTCAGACTCCTTATCTGAAAGCTTCAAAGGCATTTTTATCAACTTGTCTGATATGTGAAATCCAACTAGAAAAAGAGACTCCAATTTAGGACTACATTGAGTGTTAAAGATTGCATATGCCATCTTACTAAGCAACTGAAGAAAGAACTCTTATTTCACCACTCTCTTTTAGTATTATTCATAGGCTGTTCATAAAAGATGGCTATAAAAATAACTACTAATTCTTTTTTTTTTCTATTCAAAATAAATCTAAGGAATTTAGCACAGGGCTCAATAAAAGCTTATTATGATTGTTGTTCTTAGTTGTCATTGATAGCTTAATCTAATATCTTGAAATGATATACAATTAAAATTTAAATTAGTCTTATCCTCTGTAAGCTTTCACAACACAATATAGTACAAAGACTTGACTCTACAATCCATAAAATTCACAGTAGATTAAAGAAATGTATCACCCTTTCAGAACATCTGAATTGTTCTCTTCCTTATAATCTTCAATTATATGCTTGTAATAGTCATTTAACCATGCTTTGTCCCCTACAGAAACAAAAAAGGGTAACGAGTTTAATATTATCTTTAGTTAACAGAATACACATTAACACCTCCACACCAAGGTAATAAGAAAACTCTTTCTCAACCAACTTTCTTCACTGTATGCTGATAACAGACATTAATGCTGTGTAGTAGCACCTCTGTCGACAATTCAGCTATACCATGATTTCACACTTCCTGAATGAGCTACAATCTAATATGAGGAAAAGAGAGGGACTATTGCTCCTCCCCACTCCAAAAAAAAAAAAAAAAAAAATTCTGCCCAGAGACTCTTGAGCCTGCCAGAGCAAACAGGACACATTGAGGAAGGCTATAACACAACCCCTTGGGAGAAGATGTATATTTTTTCCGTAATGAAAGCTATTAATTTCTTCAGTGTATCTCACACACATAAAAGGTAATGTAGTTATGCAATTAATCAGTTTTGTGCTGAGTGTAGTTCATGGAGGGACGAATTGAATATTCATAACTGTTTTCTGTCATATTTAAACTAATGTTCACTCTTAAGCATTAAAGCTGTTCTTGGAAGTTTTCCCTACTAACATCAACTCTCTCTTTTAATAGTAAACGTTCTGCCTGCTTAGTAGTTATGTTTTTCCGCATACACCTATTTCCCTTGGATGTTTATTATTATGGTATTGCATGTTTGTTGATGGCAGAGACCATGTCCAATCTCCCAGGTCCTCATTCGCTAATACTTTATCTACAGGTGCTGAGACAAAGCTCATTCATTGACTGACTAGATACAATGCAATTAAAGATATTCCTTTAAAAATACTTTAATGAGGAAACATTTTCTGTAGCTTTGAGAAGCCTGATGTTTTCAGACTAGTCATCAGCTGGATAGAAGTGGTCCCAGGCATTTCACCTGCCTGTCTTTTCTGATCTGGATGTGACAGAGTGTCATCTCTTGCTGTTCTCTGAACCAAACAGAGAAATCAGCTGTTCACAGGACCCTGGGAGGTGAATTAGAAGGCAAGAATGGCTAAGAAAGGAAGTCTTTAAAATTTCAAGTATCTTAGTATGTTTAAAAGAAGGAGCTATATTCCAAAACCTCAAGCTGAGCAGTGAAAGAATAATAAGAGTTTTTCTCACTGCAAGCACACCCGGTCAAAGGGTATATCAGAAAACCCCTAGTCTAAGGTTCCCATGGAAAGACATGTGCGAATCGAGTGATTCAGCAGATTTTAAGTGCTTATTTCCTTAGGCAGAGGTTAAACTTAATGTCAAGTGTTGAGTGAGGTTTGACTGCTTTTCCAGCTGCCCAGGCCATCTTTGTAAACACAGGAGTTAGAGATGAATACAACTCATTTATTCATGATATTTGCATGACTTAAACCTTTTCACATGTGCCTGGACCAGAGGCACTCTTAAAAGTCTGAGCAAATCTCAAAATGATTTATGGAGAGGCTTCCACTGTCACACTAAGTCCACAAACATTTAAAGTGGATGTAGTCCAAGGTGGCAGGAGAAGCAATTTCCTCAGCCAACCTGGAGAAATGAGTGCCGCACAATCTAAGAAGATCGAGGAAAGCCTGGTACCACTGAAAAGATAACCCACTTAATAAAGGTTAAAAGGCCCCCTTTGGGGAGAAGAAATCTTTTTGCTTTGCCCCTGCTAGTGCAACTGCCTTTAGTGTCTGGGTCTGTAACAATAAGAAGTTTTATATTTGTGTTCAGCCTGAGAAGAAACTACATATCACAGATTTAAGAAAAGATAATTCAAAGAAATAGAAAAACAAGTTACAATGACAAACAGGTCTCTTTTACTTACTTACTTACTTATGTATTTTATTAATTTATTTGCCCCTAGTAGAATATTTTTGAAACTAAATGTTTCTCTTCTAGGGACCATTTGACTATTCTTTCTTCTTAAGATTGGCCTTTGGCAGAGCTTGCAGTGAGCCAAGATCACGCCACTGCACTCTAGCCTAGGCGACAGAGCGTGACTCCATCTCAAAAATAAAATAAAATAAATAAAAAATAAATTAAAAAAAAGATTGTCCCTTGTATGAGCTAACACTCCCTTGAACTATAGTTAAGTTCTCTAGTCTCCCAAATCCCTGCCAATGAGATAAAAGTTGAATGTGTTTCCTCATAACTTTTACTTGTGAATAGGACCGTATTTATTTTTCAGAAACTATTTGGGGAAGGTCCTCTTTTTACCATAAATGACACTGACAACCACTAATTCATTTTACCTACTGGATGTCCAAAGGAAAAAACTTTCAATTGGCATAAATTGATTATAACTTTAACAATTTAATTGTGAACAAAGACCATGCTACTCTGAACAGCTTACTTTCATAGAGTTTTGATGAATAAAATATATAAAAATATGGAATATAAAGTGTTTTTAAGTCTGAAGAGTATTATGTCATTGATTTAAAGTTTATTGTAATGCCCAAGGCAAAAATAAATAAATACAAACTGCAATGAATATTTTATAAGTTTGTTGCTCTCTTCAAGCATTAAAAACCTATTTCTTAAAATTTATAAGATAAATTTTAAGGATCATAGATTCCGTGAACATTTCTCCAAAGTTCACAAGAAAATGAGTAAAAGGAGCCAGTCATCTGTACATAATGAAGACTATATAAATTGTCTTGAGGCAATTTAATTTTGCTCATTTCCTATTCCAGCTCCAAAGGCAAATACAATGGAACTACATCCCATCTCTACCAGCCTTGCCAGAAGGCACCACAGAGGGAGAAAATCAAGTTAATGAGGGATGGGAGAAGACATCAAGGACCATCTGAGTCCCAGAGACATAACTGCAAACCCATCCTAGGAGGCTGCCAGACTATAATAGCCACATATGACACCACTGTACAATAAAAAATCATAATTCAGTTAGTTTCAGGTAATTTTTAGAGTATTTTTTAAGAAAAGGGGGTTAAAAGATCATTTCAAAGTCTAAGGAGATGTTTCAGTAATAATACCTGTTACTGAGTTATTTTAAAGCAGACAACATTAGAAGAATTTTCTTCTTTGTGTCAACCTTCTTTTGGCAATGAATGGAATCGAGCTGGTGAAAGACTAATCAAACCGTAATGGGTGTGGGACTGTCTTGAAATAAATTCTTCCCCTGGGTTTTTAAGGCATCAGCTCTGGCAGATGAGACCTGCCACCAATTAGATGTGTGATTGCAGCAGATAAATGACACCCACTGGACTTGCCATATTTGCTCTTATGAAATTCCTGTCAGTTTTGAGACATAAATAATTTAAGCAAATGGCCTTGGACACCAGAGGCTGCCAATTATTGTGTCACCAACTCACCACCATTTGTTTTGGTCACCAGAGTATTTCTTTTAAAAAACCAAGACTTCCAGACTCAAAATAAGTTCCACGTTAAAGCAATTTCTTTCCCTCCAATTTCTTCCAAACTAGTTTTATTTGCATTTTGAAAGAAGAAATGGAAGTTTATCATTTAGAATGCCTTTTGTGTCTCTTTGATTCCTCTACAAAAGTTCAAATATAATTGAGTTGGGAATTAATAGTAAAAGCAATTACATCAGAAAAAATGGAACAAACACAGTATTTTTAAAAAGAACCATCAAATTCCCAGAGTACAATCAACACATTTAAGAATTCAAAAGAAAGAATTACAATGCTTGCATCAGCCTAATAACTGAAATGAATCCAACATTTCCATTTTAAAGCCACTAATCCAAGAATAAAGGGGAGATGAAACAAATTCAGACGGCTATAAAAAGCACTATGTTTGGGACTGAGTGTTGTGGCTTTGCCTGAAGTTTAGAATTACCTCTGATAGAGACAGAAGTTGCTAAGTGGACTGCAAAGTCATGTTGCTTTCCTGATTCTGTCCCTTTTGTCATAAGCAGCTTAATGAACAAGGCATTGGTGCCTATATTATCGACTCCATTTAATAAGAACTTTATTATAGCAATGTATGCATTCTCTTCTTTTTTTCAGTTCTACACTGTGCATTGTAAATCATTGTGAGACTGTTTTTTCTATTGATACCTCTAAGTATATTGCTCCAATTTCTGCAGATTCAGCTAGCTATAACAACAAATCTCCTGCAAATTATTAATAATATCACGTCTTATTCTTGGACGCAAGCAACTTTCAGAACTGAGGCTACTTCATTTAGTTCTGCTCTTCACATCTCCATAGGAGAAAAAAAGAAAAAAGAATTCTAGAGCCTGAATTAGTCACTGACCTTCTTCTGCAGTTTAAATTGTTGTTCTGTGGTGATTAAATGAAGCTCCATGGGGCACCCAGCCAGAGCCAGTTAATAAGTTATTAGTTCCATCAACACTGTTTTGTCATAGCCAAGACCCAAATTCAGTGATTATTCCTGTTATCAAAGTCTTAGTCACTCCAAGAAAAGCATACTTGGTATTCCTGAAAGATAAACCACACTATTTTGTGATATCTTCCCACAAAGTTTGAGTTGTATGAGCTCTTTCCTCACTGCTAAGATTTGGAAAGCGGCCCTAATGTAGCATTGCCAGATTTAGCAAATCAAAACACAGGATGCCCAGTTAAATTTGAATTTAAGATAAACAACAAATAACTTTTTAGTATAAGTATGTCTCAAATTTTATGCAGGATATACTTAACTTTAAAAATTATTTGTTGTTTATCTGAAATTCAAGCTTAACTGACCATCCCATATTTTATCTTCCAACCCTACCTGATGGCATCACTATTAAGTGAACAAGAGAAATTAGAGAAGAAGGCATCCATGACTGCAGGTGGCTCAACTACAAACTGAGATTCAGGAAGTAGTCAGCACAGGGGCCTTTAAAAATCTTTTTTTCCTGGAGGCAAAGGGAAGCTTTGACTGGCAAGGTAAATGCAACTGGGCTCTGGTGAGAGGCTGAGCCCTGAAGCAGTGGCCGACAGCAAAGGCCTCAGCAGTGCTCAGGGGCTGCTCAATAACGGACACACCTGCTCCTGTTGGGCTGCTTCCATAAGGTGGCTTCCCTGTGAGTATGCTTTTCAAGATTAATGATGTGCAACAAAAATAGTCAGGCAAGGCCAAGAAAAGGCCTGAAATTGAGAAATTAGCTATACAGCTTGTTTTAATAACCACCCCTATTTAGGTATCTCCAACTGTTCCACTCAATCATTCAAAGGAGTCAAAGGACAAAGGACAAACATTTATTACTCGGGGTAGATTTTGTTTTGCAGAAATTTCCCAAGTATGTTTTAGTACAAACCTCAGTTATATCTTTTGTCAAAAATGTATTAAAATAGTAGAAAACAAATTGCATTTACATTCCACACATTATATGTAAAATTGTGAATAAACATAGATGGTGGAAGGACATAGACAATACCCAAGGCTAATTGATATTTTGGAGATAATTTTTGCAAGGTTTTCCTAAAAGCCATGATTTTCACATTCATCTTCAATTTAATGACTCTAAGCCCTATGTCCAGTGCCCATGAAAATTTCTAAATATGAATTTTATGATCCCCAAAGTAGTCTACTTTGTGATCCTCTTTGCACTCTTAGGAACATTATTAGGTAAGAGTAATATAGGAATGAAAGCATCCTTTCCCTTATTATGGATTCTCCCTCATTAAAGTCTTTATCTCTTTTTCCTTTTATGTCTAATTCCATAGAAGCTAGCTGACAGGTGCACTTCTAACTTATGAATCAATTAGTATAATTTTCATAATTAATTTTAAGATATGCTTAAACAATAAATGTGTTAAAGACTGTGCTGTCCAATATGGTATCTGCTAGCCATATGCAGGTATTTAAATTTAATCTAAAGTTGATTAAAATTGTAAAAAATTTAAAATTCAGTTTTTCAATCATACGAGACACTTTGCGAGTGCTCAGGGGCCACACGTGGTTAGGGTCAACTGAGCTGGACAGTGCAGCTCTGGGACATATCCATCATTGTGGGAAGTTCTTTTGGACACTGTTGTCTGTAGACAATAATATTTTCATACCGAACTAGGAAGGATATGCATATTTTTAGGCACCACTCTGTTCAACAGTAATTATAGGAAAATAGAAAAGAAAAATGAAAGATATATTTGAGCAATTTAGTTGGAGAAAAATTACCAGGTTAGGCACCACAAATGCAACAATTCTAAGACAGCTTTGAGGGAGTAAAGACAGAAAGACATCATATACATAAATGTGCTTGCAAATGTGAATAAAGATTACTATTACAATTGTGATTAAATATAGCCCCATTGTGGGCTCTCAAAGAAGACTGCCAGGGTAAACTCCATTTACTACTTTACAGCTGTTTGATCACAGGCAAGTTATTTGATATTTCTATGCTTCGCTTTTGTCATCTATAAAATAGGGATAATAATCATACCTACCTTTTTCATCAGGGCCACCTCATCTCTGTGATTGGTGCTCCCTAAAGTTGTACAGCACATACCTGTGCAACTGTATAAATCAACCCTCTGCATTGAGATTTGAAAGGATTAAAAAAGTGAATTCATTTAAAGGACTGAAACAGTACTAAGCATATATTAAAACGCTCAATAAGTGTTAACTATACTTGAGGTATTTCTCAAAAGAAAATTTCCCAAAGGAAAGAATCAAATAGTAGAATTGAAAGTCATTCATAACTAGGGTTACGAACCAACCTGGTTTGCCACTAAATGGATTTTTGGAGTGTGGAAATTTCAGTTTTAAAACCTAAAAAAGAAAAAAGAAAAAAAAAAAACAAGCAAACCAGAATAAGATAGTTACCCATGAAAAACAAGGAATATATTTAGCCACAAGAAACACCCACAAGTGAACAAAAATTTATTCATTTTATCCAGTGATTACCAATATTAGTAACAGCATATGGCTAAACTTTATGAATTCTTCAAACTAAATGTAAATGTATAAGAGTTAGTAGCAAATGAAGAGAATTAATATGGTTCTTCTTGGCATTTAATGTGGGTATCTACATGAAAGCCAGTTATACAGCTGGAGCAGAAAATAACACAGTCCCTGAGACTTGTGGCTTTTAAATAACAGCACTGGATACCTCAGCATAGGATCAGATGGTTGAACTAGGATTGTTTTTTTTCCCTCCTTTTTTTTTTTTTTTTTTTTTTCTTTTCTGACTGGAGTGAAAAGGCTTGAATGTACCACCCTGGCTGCTAGCCCTGGAAACCTCAACTTTAAAGGAAACTGCTTACCAGGAAATGCTTAATTACTACAGGGCATCTTATTCTTGTGTTGCTCTATCTTTTACAAGCCATAAAAGAATTGTGTTTTCTCCCTATGTATTTATCACATCACCATTGTTCAAGTGTAATCTATACCTTGGCACTTGAAGAAATGAGATGAAAAGTGGTGTTAATAATGGTTTTAATTAAATCAGATGTTTATGATTTCCTCTAAAACTGTTTCTTTGCACAGCCTAGAGCAAGAACACAGCAGGGCAGCAGCGGTCAAATCAGGAGAAGAGCAGATAGAATTAGCATGGATCCTAAAACTAGCAAGTTGCTTTTCATGCTACAAGTCTCTACTCAACTGAGCACCAAATTGGATTTTACTGGGCAAGCCCCCACCCAGTCAATGCTTTTGTGAGTCCTATGGACGACAGTATTATCATTCATCCACATTTATTTGGAATGCTGAAAGACAATAAGTGAAGATAACAGGCAGGTCATTCCAAATAGACATCTCCTCACTCCATAGAAGATCTCTTTTCAGTGAGAATGTTCTCTTACTTAATAGATATCTTTCTTTCCTTTTTTTTTCTTTTTTTTGACAAGTCTCACTCTGCTGCCCAGGTTACAGTGCAGTGACATGACCATAGCTCACTGTAACCTCAAACTCCTAGTCTCAAGCAATCCTTCCAAGTAGCTGGAACTACAGGTGTGCACCAAAACACCCAGGTAACTTTTTTTTTATTTTTTATTATTTATTTATTTATTTATTTATTTATTTTTTGGGAGAGATGGGGTCTTGCTGTGTTGTCAAGGATGGTCTCAAACTCTTGGCCTTAAGTGATCCTCTTGCCTCCCAAAGCACTAGAATTACAGGCATGAAACACTATGTCTGGCCTTTAAGAGATATACTTCTTAAGCGGTGTTCAGGTTGTCTTATCTCTTCCCCTTCAGGAGAGTGGTCAATGTGAGCTCCTGGGCATAAAGAAAAGGGATATTTTTTCCCCTAATCTGTTTCCAAATCAGCATCTCCAATCTTTTTCCTTACAAACAGATATGCAAAATGTTATACTTGACCATTCTTTTATTAGTTTATGCATATTAAATGAGTCACTGATTGGGGGGTAGGATGGGAGTTCATACTGGGTTGTTACAATTCACACAGAGCACACTAAGAGAGAAAGGCAACATGAATTCAAAGAAACCCAAAGTTAACCTGCAGTTTGGGGTGATCAGCAATGATGGAGGGCAGCAGGGATAGAAATAATGTTCTAAAAATAGAAATAGATATCATTTTTATTTCTCTTTAAAATATTTAAAATAGTTTGAGAAGAAAGTGAGGAGGAGTGTCAGTTTTATTTTTTGGATAATATTTTACCAGGATCAACATTAAAATCAGTTTTGACTCTGAATACTCACAAATCAATCAACATGTCTGGTGGCTTAGGAGAATACTAGAGGAGAAGTTATTAAAATCAGATAAGGAAGACTCTGCAACACAGAGTTTCTTGTCACTAGTGAAGAGATTACCATGCAAAATTATTTGGCTTTAAAAGCTATTAGATGAACACTCATGACCAATAGTTTTCACCATCAAATTTGTATCAGGTAGCTATATAATTTTAAACAATAGGTCAAGAATTGAGTCTTCATCTTGAATTCCACATCATTAGCCCTGCTCACAGTATTAGTCTTCAACAAACATCCTTATGAATCCCAAGGCAGAATACCAATCAGTCTAACTGCGTGTTTCTTCTCCTCTGTGTAGGAATGCCTTTGAAACAAATAAAGCTTCATGTATGGAATAAAGAGACCACACGTGGGGATGGAAATCAGACTGAAAAAAGACATTAACAAGGTAGAGATCTTCTAATCACATAGCCATAGCGAATTAAGTGACTGAGACCTAGTTTAGCCATTCTGCTGACTTGTAGTGCAATCTTTCACTTTATTATGTCTCTCAGTTTTCTGTCTGCAAAATCAGAAGCAGTAATCCTACACTGACATGTGGAAAACTCCAGATTACCTCATCAAGTTTTACAAATTATCACAGACACTTGGGACTAAGTCTTCAAAGAAATTAGGCCATGGCTAAAATAAATTATGTCCAGGGGAAGATAAATTGTTTCATAAAAATTAAAACTATTGCCCCTGGCAACTGCACTAGACTTCTCAAAGCCTCTGATACTCACTGGAATTGAAGCCTGACACTATTAAGTGAGAAAAGACAGCTGAAAATTTTGTAGATTAATAAAGCATTTTAACAACGAATATTTTAAAATCTATCTATCTGTAAGACAATTTCTAAAGATAGCCCCTTGGATTCAGGACGGGAAAGTCCATCTCAAAATGAAAGAAAGATACTTTTTCTAAAGACTTTCTGTGAAGAAAAATCGTTATTATCCTTCAGTAACTGATCCAAGCACCCTATATATTTCATGTAGGTTTTGAAATTAATTTCTATGAAAACTGAAAATAAAGCAATTAGCTAGTAGAAAGTACCATGTAAATACAAACTGTCACTGTTTTAACATTGCAGAAGTGGCTCAACCAATGGTTTAGAGCCCACCAATTCTGATTTCTAGGGATTCTGTCTAACTTTGACCCTCTGTTCTTCAAAAATTAGATGAAAATAGGAAAGCTTTTCTCAAAAGGAGGTTTGAAGAAGATTTTTGAAATTGAAAATTTTTTATATTTCCCAAAATTCAAATGCAAATATTAAAATGGTAGTCACAAAAAAACGGAAGCAGAGAAACTAATAACCAAACTGGTAACAGTTTAGCATTCTGATATTTTCTCTACCTCTGATTCAGTCCAGGCCTTCAGCAGATTATCCAACTCATCCTGTTATTTAAATAAGTTAATGCCAAATAATTTTGTTTGGAAGATTAATCCTTATTTCAAATATTTAAGGAGGGCATATTCTCAGATAAAATTAATTTTTGCCCCAGAAATATCCTTTATTCATTCCATTAATACATATTGAGTGTCTGCTATGTGTAACATACTATGCTAACTGCCATAACAAAAGAGTTACCCCTTCTCCTTTACCACCTTCTTTATGGAAAGTGGTGGTGGGAGGGAGAATGTGGCATGTCCAGGACCCAGCTTTCTAACTATTCTTTTTTCCTTTTTCTTGCCTCTTCCTTCCCCTTCATTTTAATGGTGGGTCAGTTTTAGGCAGATACAACTAGAAGTTGGTTAGCTACAGAGAGGTTAAACAAATACATAAACATATTATGAATAAAAAGAGTCAGGTTTCTTATTAATGAAGAATAGTTTTACAAGGGGAAAGGAGAAAGAGGCCTAAGGTGGTGAATTGGAATGTGAACTCATGATAGACAGATAGATGGTAGACAGATAGATAGATAGATAGATAGATAGTGTATTTGAATACATACACAAATTTTTTAGCTCTTCCAATAGATAGAGAAAGCCTCCAATAATGCAACTAATTATAATGAGCACACCTAGCACTCAGAAAATGGTTTCTAAATCTCATACTTCATTAAAAGAAACCAGGACTCTCTGAAAAAACAGCTGACTGTTACAGCTAGGAATGGAAAAATATGAAATGGAAATGGGCCATCTTATTGTACTACAAAGTAAGGAATTGCTCAAAAAATATCAGGACATGTCAAATAAAACAAGCAACCAGCCTGCTTGCAAACTGTAGGAAAATTTGCACATCCAAAATAAATTATATTAATGGAGTATATCCCTTTGCATAAAAATCCATAAATCATACAGATAAAAATAAGTAAATTGGCAAGAAGGGAAAACTCTACCTTATAGTAGATTGCCAATTGTAGTTCTAGTGCTCATTATTAATTATTGTTTGTTTTCATTGTGCTGATTTTTGGTGATCAAGCCTCAGTCCCCTTCATAGTGCCCTCTCCTTTTTAAAAATTATGTGTGCACAGAAAGGCCATCTTTTTCAGGACATTGCATTTTCAGGCTTGTGGTGATAAATAAGATTGACCAATGCAAGTGTTCATAATGACTTTCCAATTGGCCCTGATGTTCTAACATGTGATTGCTTCATGCCTGGACTGTGACTTTCAGTGGGAGATGGAAGTTTTTCAGAGAAATGAACTGTGGAAAAATGTCCTTTCCTTAACTTGAAGCTACTTTTAAAATTTGAGAGTCTGGACCAAAAGAAGAAGAATATCAGGTTGAAGTCAAGATGACAGATAAGGTGAGAGTAATGACTACTCCAAAGATGGCTTCACTGAAGAAAAGGCATTTTAAGATTTTTTTTAAGTCTTGTCACAAGATCCCAGAAAAGTACTAATTTTCATTATCAATTAATAAAGCTATACATGCAGAAATGAATACAACAGAACACTGCTGTTTTTTATTTGTACTTTTTGGCCTGGGATATGGGTTTTAAATGGAGACATTGTACCAGCTTCATTAAAATAAACAATATTTGTAAAGAAAAAAAAACAGTAGATTGCCAAGGAATAATCAGATTAGAAAACTACAATTTGGGAACCACAATAGTAATAATTGACTCAGACAAGAATCATCCTTGGTGCTAAAACTGACCGGTGAAATTGTAATGAGGAATACAACATTACATAGTCTCAATGCATCTCCTCAAAATATTCTTATGAATTCATAAGTACAACATACTTGTTAATTAAATTTTCACTGGAGAGCCTTCATAAACCTCATCTTCACCAAGTTAATCAGAGTTAACAGCACCATTAATGGGAGAGTTGACATATGTGATGTGATTCACTGAGGAGAGCATGGCATCACTTCTGGGGCATTCCTGCCAAAAATTTATAAATCATGAGGAATCATCAGACAAATCTAAATAGACATTCTACAAAGTAATTGATCTATGCTCTTCAAAAATGCGAAGATTTTAAAAGTTAATAAAAGACTGAGAAACTATTTCTTATTGAAAGAGGCCAAGGACATGACAACTAAATACAATGCATGATCTTGAATTGGATCCTGAGATCAAAAAGAACATTATTGGAACAACTAAACAAATTTTAAAATAGTCTATAGATTTCATGGTAATATTGTAATTTCTTGATTTTGATTATTTTGCTGTGATTGTGAAAGTACATTATCATTATAATTAAGAAATAAACACTATTCAAAAATTAAGAAATAAGACAGGAATCCAAGGAGAGTAAAACTTGAGGGACAGTGAAATTCCTGGCTCTCTGTCTCTGATCTTTATGTTGGGGACAACCTTGTCTGTCTCAATATAGAAATCTTCCTACTCAGGGGAGCTAAAGACCAAGTACCTGCATTTGGACAAGTGGGTATGGAGGAGGCAATGTGCTAGAACTGGAATAAGTAGTCATGGAAGGCACATGCTAAGGCACATCTCCTTTGAAAAACATGTATATGCAGCATGTATCACCCCACCCCCCCAAAATGGCACTTTTAATACTATAACATCTACAATGACTTATAATGAATAAGCTTTCACTTTAAATCTGAAGGCCATGTGCATTCTCAATGTCCTCATATAACTCATATTTGAATAATAAGCATAAGAAAGTACAAGAAATGACTATTCCAGAAGGAATTTCAGAATAATGATTGCTTAGGTCTTTTCTTCCTCTGAAAACAATATGGTAGTCAAGCCGAGGGTAAGTAGTAAAGATAAGGTAGACAAAACAGCCCCAGAACACAGAATCCCAGGAAATATGAATTGACCTAAAAGACAAATAAAAAGGTGACTTTGAAGGTGTTCCTGCAGGAAGCAGGAACAGGGACTAACTTGCAAGGTCATCCTGGGCCTATGGCTTTGTCTGCTGTGGCCAACACCTCCTCACGTGGACTACCCTGAGAGAGATTGCTACGGTCTACCATTTTGTGAAGAAGTAACTGTAAAACTGTTACCAAATCCTAACACCATCAAAATGTGACCTCCAAAGAGGGACCATGAAATCAAATTGTTTTATTTCCAATTGTAAAGTAAATATTTTCAAGCAACCCATCTGAATGTTAAGATATACCCAAACAAGATGGTTGTAGAAAGAAATCCACAGAAGATGTTCTTTCCTAAGCAATGATAGCCAAAGGTCCCTGGCTTTGCCTGGTGCAATGAAGCCACCATGAGCTCATTGCCACTCTTTGCCTCTAAACCAGAGGTTCACTAACCAGGAACACTGGGGCCCAATCAGGCCCTTCATTTTCCTTTCATGCAGTTTTATTATGAAAATTATTGCTCCAACTCCCCAATGTCGTTCACCTGGTTCTGAGCAACCAGCGACCTGAGTTAGAAATTATCTGTGAAATGCCAGTAGTATGAACAGATAAGAGACACTGTTTCCTGCAACAAACATTATCTTGATTGGTTGCATAAATTTATTCAAAAAATCTGGGCAGAGTAAATTCAGTTGAAATTTATATCCCAACGAACATTAGAAATTGTAAAGAGAAATTTCATACTGGAAGGAATATCATTTACTTTTATCTACTCTTCTCCATTAGTGACATAGTTTCTGAATTTAGAAACCAAATTATCACAGATAGACAAATTACCCACTGGCTAAAATAATAAGGATAATTTTTTGTGCATCATTGTTAACAGCTTAGACCTGATAATCTTAATGAACAGTTTTCTTAATGGTGCCTGTTACTAACTGCAAGAAGTATAATAGACCTCATATACTATGAGTGTTTAATAAATATTAATTACAGTTACTACTTAAAATGAAGCTAATGTTCTCATTTTAATGGCTACCTTCCCTATTCTAAGAACATAAGAACAGGGAAATACAATGCCTTTATGAAAATATTCCTAACTAAATTTGGCTTGAATCTAATTTGAATCTAATCATACTCGCTTCCCAAAACAGGGAGAAATCCTTGAATGCTAAACTTCCATAACAACTACCCACCAACATATAATATTACATAAAATTTCAAAGTAACTATTATTTTAATAACTTTAATGTTTGTTGAATTTATTTTCATTTTTATTATCAGTTTAAAAAGTTAATTTGCAATACAATTTTCAGGATCATGCTTGGGCTATGATAGATATAAGATGATGCTTTTGTCTGTCCTAACTAGTCCTTGAGGACAGCTTGCTACTTACTGCCCCTTTGAACAGCAGGAAGAACTAAGAACACAGTTGTTCTGATTTATAATGTCAAAACACAAAGGAAGAATGTTATTTAGAAAAAAAAGTTTTTAAAGAGCTAGTCTAATTAAATAGGGGATTGCATGTGATGAAATATAGACATTCTCTTTGGATGAAGACACTTTGGTTCTAAAAGCCAACAAAGTGTCAAATAGAGTAGAAGGGCTCCATTCTGCATGTTAGTCTGGGCGTTCTTGTTAACACTGGAAATACGTTCGTGAGGGATAAAGGAAAGTATTTCTTATCCTTTGTTTTCTACATACAAGATGTAGATAATTTTTACAGGGCACAGATGATGGGCTACTATCTTTCATAACATAAAACACAAATTCAAACATCTTTTTCAAAATTGTCAGTTATGGGCTTGCTCTTTCCAATGTTAAAATAAATGGGTAGATTTTATTCTTATGAGGTAAATACAACCAGAAATACGAAAGCCTTCTCCAGTCTGCACTGAAACAGAGAAATTGAACCATAAGTAAGTTGTAGAGATATTAATAAAGGACTGGTAAGTGGAGGTATTAGAGAATGAGTGATTGAGAGATTAGTGAGATAGAAAGAAGTGATGGTTTGCAGAGATAATTCCAGATGAAGGTAGGGGTTCTGATTACATGTCCTGAAGAATGACATTCTGAAAAAAAAAAAAGATGAGTTGATGGGTGCAGCACACCAACATGGCACATGTATACATATGTAACTAACCTGCACGTTGTGCATATGTACCCTAAAACTTAAAGTATAATAAAAATATATATATATAAAAAAACTTGGAACTTTGAGAAGATAGTTTAATCAAATTTTAAGGCTAATTGAAGGAAAAAGGAAAAAGAATGGGAGAACAGTTACCTTGAAATAGTGGATTAAGATATTACATACCCAAAATATAAAAAAGGCAATATGAGAGAATGTTTGTAAGAAACTTTGGCAGCTCAGGATTCAGCTGGAACCTAGAAAAGAAATTACAGATAAACTGAACATTGTGCCTAAACAAAAAGGATTCTTACCACTGCAAGTTATAGATTATAAGACAGTTCCATGGGACCAAGACTTAGGAAAAAATAAATATATCCAGAGGAAGCTAGTAAATTTAAAGGATTGTTACAGGAAGATTCTGAGCACACGTGTTCTCATCTTTGGGGAAAAATTTCCCTTCCCTTAGCACACATGTACTCATGCATACACACTCACATACACACACACGCACACACACGGACTCAATCACAAACACACATTGAAATTTAGCTAAAATTGAACACAGAGAATCTTGACCAGAGTCACTTTCAGACACTTCTCTTTAATGAAAGACTTTAGATATCTCTTCTGTCAAGAGGTCAAATGTCACAAGGGCAGATTATTACATGTTTATTTTAAAAAAGCTAATATTAAATAATTTGAATCAGTTATCCTTGAAGAAATACATCTCTTTAATAAAGTTAATCATGCCAAACTAAAAAACAAAAAAATGAGTAATTTTTTCATATTTTTTCTTGTCTCTATTTTCACCATCAAATTTTTTACTCGGAACTGGGCACAGTGGCTCACGCCTGTAATCCCAGCAATTTGGGAGGTAGAGGCGGGCAAATCACTTGAGGTCAGGAATTCAAGACCACCCTGGCCAATATGGTGAAACCAACATATCTAATAAAAATACAAAAATAGCAGGCATGGTGGTGCATGCCTATAATCCCAGCTACTCAGGAGGCTGAGGCAGGAGAATCGCTTGAGCCCAGGAGGCAGAGGTTGCAGTGAACTGAGATCATGCCACTGCATTCCAGCTTGGGTGACCGAGCAAGACTTGGTCAAAAAACAAACAAAAAAAAAATCACTTGCGTCAGCTTTGTGAGAAAACTGAATCAGAACTTTTACAACATCTATGCCTCTCGTCAATAAACTTCTGCTATAACATCTGACTTAATTATATACAGAAAGATCCATTATCATCACAATACTTTGGTATACTTCAAAGTCAAATCATTTTTTCAGGAAGGAAAAATTTATGACATAAGTAGACTTTGGACCCTATTTTGTCCAAATCTTTCAAAAACTAAGAAACATTTTTCTCAAGGGGAAAAGGAGAGAAGTTTTTATATGTTGCTTTATGCAGTTTCCATTTTGAATTCTCTTTTTGGAAGTTAATATCTTAACTAAATTGCCTAAGAATTTGCCCCAATACAGTTAAGGTTTATATATTTCAACAAAGACTCTGCTCATAATCAAGGCATGCTATCAAAGATATAAGAAAGAAGATTGACAGTTGGCATACATTGTAGGGAATTAGTGCAAATCAAGGAGAGTAAGAAAGCTAAATCCAAGAAGGTTCCATGTTGGAGTAATCCCATTAATTCATTCAAGCAACATTTACTGAGAGCACTTATTATATGCTGGGCATTGTGATAGGCACAGAATACATAAAGACAAATAAGCCATTCCATATGCCTTCCTAAAGTTCAGACTTTGCTAGGGAAAACGGACAAGTAAAACAGTAACTACAAATTAATATGATCATTGTTTGGATTGAAGAAAGATTTCCTGGATGCCTTGATACTTGAAAGATAAGAACCAAGTAACTACATCAAAAAGAGAGATAGGTTCTCCAGACAATGATAGCAACATATAAAATGGTATGGAGGTATAAAACTTGATACATTTGAAAAATTGGATTGCGGAGCAAGGAAAGAGAGCAGGGAGTGGGGAGGTCAGGTAAGGAAGTAGAAACATCAGTCTTATATAATAAACCAAGGAGTTTGAACTGAATTGCACTACCAGAAACTGAGGGAAATTATTGGAGAATTAAACAAGCAGTGACTTGAGCAAATTTTCATTTTAGATTCTTCACTTGGCAAGCAATATGGAGGATGAATTAACGGGTAGAAAGCATAAAGAAAGTTAAGCCAGAGTGAGGTATGTCGGCATGGCCAGTGACAGGGCAAGAAACTAAGTTCATTTACTGGATGCTTTTCAATTGAATGAGCTCAAATCAGAAGCTAGATGGGATAAATAGGCTCAAAACATACCATCACCCTGTCAGGTTCCCGTATGTGGTGAGAAACTTGGCACTCTCAGAATCATGTCCTTTGAGCTTGAAAAACGTGGGTTAAAAAGAGAGATGACCTGGACATGACTCACACCTATAATCCTAGCACTTTGAGAGGCCAAGGTGGGAGAATCATTTGAAGCCAGGAGTTTGAGACCAGCCAGGGCAACATAATGAGTCCCTGTCTCTACAAAAAAAAAAAAAAAAAAAAAAAAAAACAGCCAGGTGCTGGGTGTGGTGGCACATCATGCCTATAGTCCTGTCTACTCAAGAGGCTGAAGAAGGAGGATCCCTTGAGTTCAGGAGGTCGAGGCTTTACTGAGCTATTATCACATTGCTGCATTACAGCTTGCATGACAGAGTGAGACCGTGTCTTAAAAAAAAAAAAAAAAGAATGAAACATTCTAATTGGCCAAGCTTAGTACTCACCTCCATGGCCATCAGGTACCGTGATAGGGAAGCCCAAAAACACCTGTAAATGTAGTGTTACCTAAAAGAAGGTGGGTGTACTAGAAGCAGAAAGAGGAAAATATTTTGTACAGACAGAAATAGCAAATATCCACTATGGTTTAGCAGCTAGATGGAAACCAACAAGGACATGAACTAACTTGAGGAATTGTTGACTAAAGAAAAAAAACAGAACTAGGAGATATTAGGAAGCAAAATTGACAAGACTTGGCAAGTGGCTGATAGGATTGTGGGTATTCAGTTTCTAAACAGATGGTATAACATTCAAATTTTCTGTCAGAAATAGAAATTGTGCAAAGAGCAGAAACCTAAATGGAATACACCCATCACAAAAATGTAAGTGTGCCTGATATTTCGTTTAACAGATACAGCAATTAAAAGAAAGATTGGGGAGGAGGTGAGAAAGAGAGAAGTTAGAGATAATTCCTGGTTATCTGACTGGACCTGCTGAGTGGAGAGTGGTGCCATCCACCAGAGTAGGAAATAAACAATTGTTGGCACAGATGATCTATTCAGTTTTGGCTGTGTCTGGAACATTTTCAGAAATATAATACATCATCACAAAAGAGAATAGCAAGGAATCGATGCCAAACCATCATTCTGTAAAGCATCCTGATGCAGTAGTTTCAGAGCCAGACAAACCTGAATTTGGATCCAGAAGCCCTGCTGTATAGTTGTGTGACTCTAAGTAAGTTCACTGTCAACTGGTTCCTCAAATAAAATGGGGAGAATTAAAACACCTACATCATAGATAATGTATATTCCCTGGCATGTGGAAAGAATTCAATAAATCCAAGTTCTCCTCTGAGTGGCACCCTGAGGAATTAATTATCAAAGATTAAGTACCAATTCAGAGTGCAAAGAGAAATATTTATCCAGTTCATACTCTATCCCAGGCCTTCTGAGTATATAATATTATATAAGAGAGAGAACACTTGTAAATTCAAGGAGTTTGCGCTCTGCTTAGGATTAATGGACAAGTAAGATAATTTCAGAATGTGGAAAGTATCTTGAAAGAAATAAACAGAGTGACATGATAAAGAGAAACTGCAGTGGTCTCTATTGATTGCCAGGTTGATTGGCTTGGGCTTTTTCATACTGGAGAAGGCAGAGTCTTAACTATATTAAAATGACGTCTATTCCAAACATGGGTTTTCCTTCCCTGTGTATAGACTCTCACCATGAGAACTACCATCCAAGGGCTTACAGAATGCCTGACTGATCTGTGTAGAATCTCCTACAATATTGCCTTAGACCAAATTATAACATTTTATGGCAGGGTAGGGGGGAGTACAGGAATAGGAAAGTGACAGAATCCCCCTGCCCCACTATTGATCATGCCACTCTGAAACAGTAATGTAATGGGCTACTATAAGCTCAGGTATGTATAAGCTTGAGGACAATACCCTTCAGAACTCAGGAATATTCTTCAGGATATAGTATATACATTCAATCAACAACTGACATATATTAGTGCATCCTCAACAGCTAGAATACATAAATCCAGAAACCAAGGTGTAGAAGCGTGGTAGGTCTTCATGCCATCACTCAGAATGAACCAGTTGCACAAGGTGTGCTTCTCATCCCTGAAACCTTAGGTTCTGCCAGATAAGGGGTCCTGATTTCCAAAAAGAGAATTTTGCATTGAGAATAATTCCACTGTAAGAGTTCCATCAACTTGAAGGCGCAACTACCACCTGTTTATTTGTTACTACCTGTGCCAGTGGAAAAATAGAAAAAGAATATAGTTCCTATTTATCAACATTGATAGATTTAAATTACTATGAAGAAGTAGAGTTCCTGCAACACAGTGAGAGTGAGCAAGAGTACTTGTGGAATCCTGTGGATTCACTGAGGTGGTATTTGATGCTTAGGTACCCAGTGATAATTACAACTTGGAAATTATAACACTGTGGCTTAATGAGGGGAAGACAAATGAGGACTCAGATGCCTTGCAGATGAAGGTCTGTGTTTTTTCACTAGGCAGACATCTTTGTTATCTGTTGTTATAACAGAATACCTGAGACTGGGTAGTTTATAAAGAAATGAAATTTATTTCTTACAATTCTGGAGGCTTCCTCCAGCCATTGCTTCAGGAAGAATCTTTGCACAGAGGTAGCCTGAAAGTACCTCACTTCAGCAGCACTACACTTCTTTTGTTTGCCACCCCACAGCTTCTCTGGATCTCCAAGACAGAAATTCTGGAGGCTGGGAAGTCCAAGAACATGGCACTGTCATCTGGTCGGGGTCTTCTTGCCGCATCATTACACAATGGAAACCATCACATGGTGAGAAAGCGAGAGCATGCCGGCTCAGTTCTCTCTCTGCTTATAAAGCCACCAGTCCCATCACTGGGACCCCACCCTGATGACCTTATCTAATCCCAACAACCACCAAAGGCCCCACCTCCAAACACTATCAACTTATGAATTTGGGGATTAAGTTGCCAACACATGAAATTTTGGGAAAACATTAAAACCAAAGCAGCAAGCAACCCAGTGGGGAAAACTAACTGAAGCGCTTGTTGTGAGTGACAGAAATCTGGAGTAAATCATAGAGGAGAAAAATAATGACTAGCAACTAAAGTCACAAGACCATATATCAGGGATCATAAATTTTTCCACAAACTTTCCTGTCATAAGTCTTTTATAGCGATTTTGGCTAGTCATAATGCTGAAGATTCTGTGACTGATTAGACATAGAAGAACACGAACAGATATGAGCAGGCCAAGGGGTAAACACTTCTTGTGCCCCACCTCACATTTTCTCAGTCACTTTTTACTCCAGCCATTGCTTCAGGAAGAATCTTTGCATAGAGGTAGCCTGAAAGTACCTCACTTCAGCAGCACTACACTTCTTTTGTTTGCCACCCCACAGCTTCTCTGGATCTACAATATAGGACCACTAGCAATTATACATGTGCAACTGCTTATGAGCAAATTAACATCCCATAGGACAATCTTTTTTCAAGAGGGAAGAAAGCTTGCCAATAATACCTTCCATTTCTTGTCCCTGGCAGAAGAAGAAGCCAAGGAACAAGGAGAAAATCATGTGATATAGTCCATATGATCCTCAGAGCATCCGTTGAGGATCAAGCCTAGTTGACCACGGCATTGATAAACTAACAACTACACCATTTTGAATTGGCTTTTTTTTCCCTGTTTCATTATTCCCTGTCCTACATGCCTACTTCCCCAGATCATCTCCCCAAATAAGCTTCCTTCATATAAGCCCTCATCTCCTGCTCTGCTTTCTGATGACTTAAGCTGATATCCTACCTTTCTTCTTATTCCCCTCCTATCCTGTTACTTATAGATTATTTTTGTCTGTTCTGTGCATTACTATCCAGAGTATTGCTTGGCAAATACTTCGAAATGAAGCTTAATGTAGTGTGTGATCTGTAATGATTACCCCATGAACTTAACCCCCATATTTTCCAGTAACTCATCAAATGTGACATAGTTCTTTATTTGGGATGACCAATTTTGTTAAATTTAATACAAAGTGTTCTTCGTTCAAGCTGAGCAACTTAAGTAGAAGTTTTCCTTTAAAGCATGTTTTTGGATTACAGATTTTCAAATTGCTACAAAATGTACAATGATTGAACACTGGCCTCTGATCATTCAGCTCAAAATTGAATTAAATCTTGATCATTCATATTAATTCACATGCTACTGAGAGGCTTCCTTTAAAGTCTTTGAAGTATAGCAGGTATTATCTCCAGATTATTAATGTACAAGAGAGCTCACTGTTTGCCAGTCTGTAGGCTTAACCTTACACAAATATTATTTTAATATCTGTTAATCCTTTAAGTTGAATGATTTTTTTCCTTTTCAACAGCAAAAATAAATTTACTCTTGTTCCTATGATAATGGATAACTGTTTCCCTGGACAAGGATTTGGGAAAATGCCGATAACGGTGGTGCCAGAGTTCTTGCAGTGTTCATGCAAAAGCTTGAGGAGTACACAATATGTTGGCTTTGTATAAAGATAGCGGCTTAGGAACTGAAAGGTGTGAAATGTCTTTCCTCAGTGTTGTTTGCTCATATCCTGGAAAGACCCACAAGGTTGATAAAGCTGAGCAGTTGTTCATTGGCAGTTTTTTTTCAGGTTTCTGTTTGGAAAAGCTGTAAACTAGGCACAGAAATGGCAATATATTAGATTGCCTGAGAGAAAGCTCAAAGCACTCTCTGGGAGCATGCCAAAAGAAACCTCTGAAGAAAAAACTGTGGGTGGCTCATTGGTGGATGAAAAAGATCCTTGAGTCAATTCCTATTGAGTACACTTTCCTTTCTCTTGTTTTGTAACCCCCCTGTGGACATCAATTATTCTCACTCCAGGCTAGAAGATTTCCCACTTTCCTGAACAAGAGGTCTTTGGAGAACTGAATGCAGATATTTCCTTTCACTTCTGTGGCTTGAACTCTCCATAAGTTGTGTGGTCTGTGTTTCTATTATTTTTAAAATGGGAAAATAAAAGGGTAAACTGCAATAAGACCTACCAAGGTGCCAAATAAATTCAAAATAACTTTGCAATTGCAGTTTCTTCAACTAAAACACCTCCATACATTGAAATTAGAGTCTTTACTCTTTCAAGCACAGCTGTGGTTGGAGAAGTTTGTGTAATCCCTCTTGATTATGTGAGAAGTGGGCAATTGAAAAGACAACTGCAGGGAGGTCAGAACCCCAAAATCAGTAATGGCCCAATCTGACTGTCATTAGTGATGAAAAAGCACCAATGAAAAATCCTTTACTAATAGTCATGCTGTCTTTTTACAATCTATTCTTAAATTAGTCATTATTTTGGAAGCAAAGTAGTTACCGGGGTGATTTTGAAGAGGAGTCTCAGTATGCTTAATGGAAAGTTTGCCCTTATAAGATGACTTGGGACAATAGATTTGTTCAAATTGCTATGAAATCTAGAGAACTCTTGAACATGGACCTTTGAATCTTCATGTTGAAATCTATTTGTCAAATTGTTCAAATACTATTACAAGATTATGGTTTCCTGATATTTTCTTTCCCCCCCAAAAAATTTCAAGACTATACGAACATCTAACTTAAACAAGTTTGTATGTATTTATTATTGGGGAAACGTGTATTTTAAAATACATTTTATTACAGAGTACTGGGTAATACTATTATTTTTTATCTTCGAACCTAAAACAACATGCCAATAGGCACGCTAAGAGCCAATATATGACCAGCAAAAAAAAAAAAAAAAAAAAAAAAAAAGCGAAATAGGGAATCTATGGCTTATTTTAAGTTTATTTTTTGAGAAACAAGTTCGATGAAAATTACTTGGGGCAACTGAGTTTTGAACATAGTGTCATGTATCCCACGGCAGGCTCCCAGGTGCACGTACAGCAACTCTCAGCTCCCTATTAGCCTGAATCTCTTCCTCCAGCTCACTGCTGAATTCCTATAGAGCCACAGTGCCTACCACATCAGGAGGTACACAGCCACCAGCAACATGCTAGGCTGGGAAAAGATAGAAAACCCTTTCCATAGTTTACATAGAGATGAGCAGGGATTTCAATGGTTTCTGTTGTGTTATTTCTCAAGTATTAGATGTTTATAAAGATGAGTCCAAGTATTGCATGTGTGTAAAGAAAAATAATCACCCAAAATCTACTATGTATTACCTAAAAAATAACAATGGATTAATATTTTGAGCTATATAACTCCAATACATTCAAGAATTTTTTGTAAATATGCATAACAGGTACATCTATATATCTATCTATACATCATTCAAAACTTGTTTCATTCAATGCATATTATACTGTTTCTTTTTATTACTCAACTTTATATCTGAAATATGTGTATGTTAACAAATAAATATACAATTACCTTATTACTTATATTGGAGAAGTTGTACTTCATAGTATTTGAACATAAGCTCTGGAATAGGACTACTTAAGTTGAACCCGAGTCTTATTGACCAATTGTGTGATCTTGTGCAAGATCATTAAACACCTTGACCCTCAATTTCCTCACATATAGAATGATTATTATAATAGTATCTATCTTATAGGGTTGTAGCAAAGATTAAATGAGTCAATATATGTAAAGAAGTTATAAGAATGCCTAGCACACAGTGAATATTCAGTAAATGTCAGTTACCATTTTTAAAGCTTTATAGTATTTCATTGTGTAAGTGTACAATTTATGTACGTATATAGATATTATTACTGTTTTTAATAGCAAACATTTGTAAATGAGGTATAATGACAATACCTCATACCTCATACCTCATTTACAAATGTTTGCTATTAAAAACACAGTAATAATATCTATATATATACATATTTTCATATGTTTCTGACTTATTTTGGAGGGGAATAATTTTACAGAGGTAGAATTTCTCAGTCAAATGCTGTACACATTCATGTGTCTTTTTTTTAGTGTTTTATTTTTATTTTTATTTTTTACTATTATATTTTAAGTTCTAGGGTACATGCTCACAATGTGCAGGTTTGTTACATATGTATACATGTGCCATGTTGGTGTGCTGTACCCATTAACTCATCATTTACATTAGGTATATCTCCTAATGCTATCCTTCCCCCGACCCCACGACAGGCCCTGGTGTGTGATGTTCCCCTTCCTGTGTCCAAGTGTTCTCATTGTTCAGTTCCCACCTATGAGTGAGAACATTCATGTGTCTTTTAAAGCTGATTGCCCATAAATTTACAGGAGTAGAATTTCTCAAAGGCTCTACATATTCATGAGTCTTTTGAAGCTGATTGCCAATATGACATCAGAAATGTTAAACCCCTTTTTGCCCATCAAGCAGAGTATAAGAATACTCAACAACCACTGGTCATGTATGTTTTAAACATTTTTACTGTGACTAAAGTTTTTAAATAACTCTTCTGAAAATATAAGGAAAAAATAAAACAAGAACACAGACTTCCCTGAAGAGCTAACAATTGTGCTCCAAGAGAAAGCCAACAGTTGTATTGCCTGCTCCCCAAGGGTTCCATTCGCTAACCAGTGTAATCCAGAGGGGTAGCAACAATCAGGAAGGAGAGTCTGTTTGTACAGGAGTTGACCTTGCCATTTTTTTTATTAAATCCAATTCCAAAAACGTACAAATACAAAAGAGAGGAAAGGGGAAATTTAAAAATAGCTTTGCCCCTACTCTGAGGTGTGAAATGAAAGAAGAGCTTGAAATTCCCTGCAGGTTTGTGGAAGCCAGTCCTGACCTGCTCAAGTAGGGAGGAAAAATAGAGGAATGCAGGTTTAAACTGACTACACTGGCATATCTTAATTATTGAAAATTACGAGAAAACTATGAGATCTGCCTAAGATAAGAAAGGAAACCCAACAGATCATGATGAAAGAAAAAGATTGGGGGAAAAAACTACAATGTGTTGTGTTTGTGCCTTCTTGAGTTCAAGCAGTTTAAAGAACAATATGCAATCCTAATTGAAATGTATAACACAAAAGTTTTAGAAACATGTCTAAAAATTTTACTTGGCCAGGTGCTGTGGTTCATAACTGTAATAGCAATACTTTTGGAGGTTGAGGCAGGAGGATCACTTAAGGCCAAGAGTTCCAGATCAGTCTGGGTAAAACAGCGAGACTGTGCCCCCACAAAAAAATTAAAAATAGCTGGGTGTGGTGGCACACACTTGTAGTCCTAGCTACTTAGGAGCTGAGGTAGGAGGACTGCTTGAGCCCAGGAGTTCAGGGCTGCAGTGAGCTATAATCATGCCACTGTACTCCAGCCTGGGTGGCAACAAGACCCTATCTCAAAAACAAACAAATAAAACTTTATTCAATTAATTTCTACCATGAGAAAAGCATGTTGGATCAGATCTCCAAACCAAAAGGGTATTTTTAAAGCTGATTTTAATTAACATTCTTGTGGAATACTTTTTAAATTATAGAATATTAATTTATTAATAATTTATTGAGCACCTACTATGCACCAGCTACTGTTCTAGATACTAGAGATTTCAAATAGACTATGAACAAACAAATAAATTTATAATGTCCATATAAGGTCAGTTTCTTACAAATGTTTATGAAGAAAAATCATAATGAAGTGTTAGAATGTATCAATGAAGCTAAGAGGGCTTTTGTAGACTGGGTGATAAAAGAAATCTTCTCTGAGGAGTTAACATTTTAGCAGAAACTTTTAAAATGTGATCAAGAGGAAGGTGGAGCAAGATGGCTGGATAGAAGCCTACACCGTTTGTTCCCCCTACCAACCAAGCCCCACAAGAACACCCAATTTTAACAACTAACTACACACAAAAATCACCATCACAAGAACCAAAAATCACATGAGCACTCACAATGCGTGGGTTTTTTTTTGGTTTGTTTGTTTGTTTTTTGAGACAGAGTCTCGCTCTGTCGCCCAGGCTGGAGTGCAGTGGCGCGATCTCGGCTCACTGCAAGCTCCACCTCCCGGGTTCATGCCATTCTCCTGCCTCAGCCTCCCGGGTAGCTGGGACTACAAGCACCCGCCACCACACTCGACTAATTTTTTGTATTTTAAGTAGAGACGGGGTTTCACCGTGTTAACCAGGATGGTCTCAATCTCCTGACCTCGAGATTCGCCCGCCTCGGCCTCCCAAAGTGCTGGGATTACAGGCGTGAGCCACCACGCCCGGCCCACAGTGCCTGGTTTTAATTTCATATAGCTGAGAGAGGCACTGAAAGGCAGTAGGAAAGACAGTCTTTTTTTTTTTTTGAGATGGAGTTTTGCTGTTGTTGCTCAGGCTGGAGTGCAATGGCACGATCTCAGCTCACTGCAACCTCCACCTCCTCAGTTCAAGCGATTATCCTGCCTCAGCCTCCAGAGTAGCTGGGATTATAGGCATGCGCCACCATGCCCGGCTAATTTTTTTGTACTTTTAGTAGAGACAGGGTTTCACCATGTTGGCCAGGCTGGTCTCAAACTCCTGACCTCAAATGATCTTCCCACCTTGGCCTCCCAAAGTGCTGGGATTACAAGCGTGAGCCACCGCGCCCGGTGGAGAGGCAGTCTTAAATAGCTGATGCCACTCTTCTCATCCATACCCTTCCCCCACAGTGGCCATGCAGCACAGAGAATCTGTGTACTGGGAGAGGGAGAACACAGCAACTGGGGAACTTTACATTGAATTCAGTGTGCCCTGTCACAGCAGAAAACAGAACTGGGTTGTACCCAGCTGACACTTGCCCACCAAGGGAGCATTTGGACAAGCTGCAGCCAGAGGGAAATCGCCCATCCCAATGGTCAGAGCCTGAAGTCCGGCAAGCTTTGCCACCCACATGGCGAAAGTGCTCTGGAACCCTAAGGGAACTTAAGGGGCAGTCTAGGCCATAAGGACTGCAACTCCTAGGCAGGTCCTAGTGCTGAGATCGGTTCAGAGCCAGTGGACTGGAGGGACACACAATCTACTGAGACACAAGCTGGTACAACTAAGGGAGTGCTTCCACCACCCCTCCCCCATCCCCTAGTAGCAGCCATGCAGCATGGAGAAATCTATAGGCTTGGGAGAGGGAAAGTACAGCAACTGTGAGACTTTACATTGAACTCAGTGCTGCCCTGTCACAGCAGAGACCAAAGCTGTGATGGGCTCAGCCAACACCCTTGCACGAAGAGAGCATTTGGATGAGACCTCGCTAGAGGAAAATTGCCCATCAAAGTAGTCAGAACTTGAGTTTCTCAGCAGGCCTCTCCACCACTGGCCAAAGTGCTCTAGGGTTCTAAGTAAACTTAAGAGGCAGTCTAGGACTGAAGGACTGCAATTTCTTTTTTGTTGTTGTTTTTTGGCTTGAGGTGGATTTTATTTACTCTGGTGTTTTTAGCTCTTTGCTACTTGCTTACATGTTATCTGAGGGTTGATGTTAATGGGGGCAGTTTTATAAGAATTAGTGGGAAAATAAGGTGTTTTAGAGCCTTGCAAAAGGAAAGCCAACTCCATAAAATGTTCTAGGATAGAATTTGTCACATTTCTCCCCTTACGATAATAATTAAATGCAATATAACATTCTTTATAAAAAAATAAGAGCAATATAATTGAAGGAAATCAGGCAACTACTAGGGCTGGCCTGGGCTTAGAGACAGTGGATTGGAATGGCATGTGACCTAGGGAGACACCAGCCAAGGTGGCTAAGGGAATGCTTGCGCCATGCCTTCTCCAACTTCAGGCCATGCAGCTGGCAACAACAAAAGTGACGCCTTCCTCCTGCTTGAGGAGAGGAGTGAAAAGTATAACAGACTTCGCCTGACATCTTGGATACCAGCACAGCCATAGTAGGATATGGCATGGTACACAGTCATAAGGTCCCCATTCCATGCCCTAGCTCATTTCTTGACACTCCCTGGGCCAAAAGAAAATGTGCTGTCTTGAATGAAATGACCCAGTCCTGGCAGGACTCATTGCATGAAAATTAAAGAGTTCTTGGGCTGGGCGTGGTGGCTCATGCCTGTAATCCCAGCGCTTGGGAGGCTGAGGCAGGTGGATCATGAGGTTAGGAGTTTGAGACCAGCCTGACAAACATGGTGAAAACCGTCTCTATTAAAAATACAAAAAAAAAAAAAAAAAAAAAAATTAGTGGGGCTTGGTGGCACATGCCTGCAATCCCAGCTACTCCAGAGGCTGAGGCAGAAAAATCACTTGAACCCAGGAGGTGGGGGATGCAGTGAGCCAAGATCATGCCACTGCACTCCAGCCTGGGCGACAGAGCAAGACTCCATCTAAAACAAACAAACAAAAAAAACAAACTCCTGGGCCCCAGATAACCAACAATGATACTCAGTTAATACAGCATGCAGCATGGGTCTTGCACTCTGAGACATGCTGCCTTCAGGTGTGTCCCAGCATATTCCCACCTATGGTGGCTATAGTGAAATTTCCCTTTTTGAGAAAAGCAGAGGGAGAAGGAAAGAGGACTTTGTCTTACACCATAGGTACTAGCTCAGCCACACTGGGGTAAAGCAACAAGAAGACACTTGAGGTCCTCAAGTCCAAGCCTAGGCACTTGGAAATCAATTCTGGATCTGCCCTGGACCAAAGGTAGGGGCAACTGCCCTAAAGAGTGAGACCTGGGCCTTGCAGTGTTCACCACAAGCTGACGGAAGAGCCCTTGGGCCTTAAGTGAACATCACTGGTGGCCAGGCAGAAGCCCTGTGTGAGCTGGTAGTGATGGTGGACACGGAGAGCGGTTTCTTTGCCAGTGAGTAGAGGGAAGAGCAAGAAGGAATTTGTCTTGTAGTTTGAATGCCAGCTTAGCCACAGTAGAATATAACATCAGGTAAATTGCTAACATTTTTTACTCCAATCCCTGGCTCCCAGATAGCATCTCTGGACCCACAGGGGCCATGGGGGAACTTGCCACTCTAAAGGAAGGAATTAAAATCTGGCTGGCTCCACCACATGCTGGTCATAGAGCCCTAAGGCCTTGAGTGAACATAGGTGGTAGCCATGTAGTGGTTACAGCAGGCCATGGATGACATCCAGTGCTGTACTGGCTTCAGGTCTAAATCAGCACAGTCCTGGTGGTTGTGGCCACAGGAATGCCTGAGTCTACCCACACCTAGTTCCAGGCAGCTCAGAACAGAGAGAGAGAGAGAGAGAGAAAGAAAGACACTCTGTTTTTTGGGGAGAAAGTAAAGGAAAAAAACAAGAGTATCTACCTGGTAATTCAGAGAACTCATCTAGATCTTATTCAAGACTACTAAGGCAGTATTTCTACAAGTTTCTAAGAACCACAGCATTGTTGGATGGGCCAAGTTCCTTCAAATACCTGGAAAGCCTTCCTAAAAATGCAAGCCCAGATTGCAAAACGACAATAAATGCCTAACTCTTTAATGATGCCCAGACACTGATGAACATCTACAAACATCAAGACCATCCAGGAAAAGGAGGGGCCAAGATGGCTGACTAGAAACAGCTATGGTCAGAGGTGCCTACCAAGAAGAATGAAAACAGTGAATGAATCCTGCAGCAACTAAGGTATCCAGGTTCTCTCACTGAGACTGACTTTGCAGTTGGCAAGACCCATGGAGAGTGAGGAAAAGCAGGGCGGAGTAACAGCACACCCAGGAGCTGCACAGTGCAAGGGGAGCTCCCACTCCCAGCCAAGGGAGGTAGTGAGTGATTGTGCTACCCCACCTGGGAAACCACACTTTTTCCATGCATCCATGCAACCCACAAATCAGGAGATCCCCTTGTAAGCCCACAGAGCTGTGAAGATTCTCAGTGGCTGCTTAGCTGGAGACTGCCTAAGACTACCGAGTTCCTGGAGGGAAGGGCAGCCACTATCACTGCAGCTGCCTGCTGCCTGCTGCCTAAGATGACTGAGCTCCCAGAGGGAGGGATGGCTACTATCACTGAAGCTCCAGTCTACCATTCTCACCTGCTGGTAATGGGGAGACTGGGTGGTTTGGACCAAAGAGGAATTCCCCACAATGCAGCACAGCGGCTGTGGCAGATCATGGAGAGACTGTCTCTTTAGGCCAGACCCGTACTCATCGCTCCTCACCAGGTAGAGCCTCCCTGTGGGAATTTCAGCAACCCCATCCAGGGGTTTACAAAGAGAATGCTGATCTCCCTGGGATGGAGCCCCTGGGGGCAAGGGTGGCCACAGTCTCCATGGATCAGCGAACTTGGTCTTTTCCCTTCTTGACTCTGAGGAATCTGGGCAGTCCAGATGAATGGGATTCCCCCCAGCACAGCACACCCTTTCACAAAGAGGCAGCCAGAGTGCTTTGTTAAGCAGGTTCCTGATCCTGTGCCTCCCAGCTGGGTGAGACTCCCCAACAGGGGTCACCAAAAACATTATACAGGACTGTTCCTGCTGGCATCAGGTCAGTGCCCCTCTGGGATGAAACCACTGCTCAAGGAAATCAGAGAGGACAAAAAACAAATAAAAAAAATTCCATGCTCATGAATAAGAAGAATCAATATCGTGAAAATGGTCATACTGCCCAGAGTAATTTATAGATTCAATGCTGTTCTCATTAAATACCATTGACATTCTTCACAAAATTAGACAAAACTACTTTTAAGTTCATATGGAACCAAAAGAGAGCCCATATAGCCAAGACAATCCTAAGGAAAAAGGACAAAGCTGGAGACATCATGCTATCTGACTTCAAACTATACTGCAAGGCTGTGGTAACTAAAACAGCATCATACTGGTATAAAAACAGACACATAGAACAATGGAACACCAATGGAACAGAGTAGAGAACTTAGAAATCAGACCCCCCATCTACAACCATCTGACCTTCAACAAACCTGACAGAAACAGCAATGGGGAAAAGACTCCATATTTAACAAATGATGCTGGGAGAATGGCCATATGCAGAAAATTGAAACTGGACCCCTTTCTTACACCTTACCCAAAAAGTAACTCAAGATGAATTAAAGACTTAAATGTAAAACCTAAAACTATAAAAACCCTAGAAGAAAATCTATGCAATACCATTCAGGACATAGACATGGGCAAAATTTCATGATGAAAAATGTCAAAAGCAATTGCAACAAATGCAAAAATTGACGTATGGGATCTAATTAAACTAAAGAGCTTCTGCACAGCAAAAGAAACTATCATCAGAGTGAACAACCTACAGAATGGGAGAAAATTTTTGCAATCTATCCATCTGACAAAGGTCTAGTATCCAGAATCTACAAAGAACTTCAACAAACTTGTAAGAAGAAAACAAACAACCTCATTAAAAAGTGAACAAAGGACATGATCAAACCCTTCTCAAAAGAAGACATTTAGGCAGCCAACAAACATATGAAAAAAAAGCTCAACATCACTGATCATTAGAGAAATGCAAATCAAAACCACAATGAAATATCATCTCATGCCAGTCAGAATGGTGATTATAAAAAGTCAAGAAACAACAGGTGCTGACGAGGCTGTGGAGAAATAGGTATACTTTTACAATGTTGGTGGGAATGTAAATTAGTTCAATCATTGTGGAAGACAGTGTGACAATTCCTCAAAGACCTAGAATAGTATATCTGGTGAAAATATCCTTCAAGCATGACGGAGAAACACAAACAAAAGCTGAGGAATTTTATCAACACTGGACCTGTCATACAAGAAATGCTAAAGGCAGTTCTTTAATCTGAAAGAAAATTACATTAATTGGAAATAAGAAATCATCCAAAGGTATAAAACTCACTGGCACACAGAAAACACACAATATTATATCACTGTACGTGTGTTGTGTGAACCACATTTATTTTGAGTAGAAAGGCTAAACAATGAGCCAATCAAAAATAATAACTACAACAACTTTTTATGACGAAGACAAAGACAGTAGAATAACACATAAAGAGAAACAACAAAAAGTTAAAAAGCAGGGGGATGAAGTTAAAATGTAGAATTTTTATTGGTTTTCTTTTTGCTTGTTTGTTTGTTTATGCAATCAGCGTTGTCATCAGTTTTAAATAATGGGTTATAAGAGAGTAATTGCAAGCCTCACAGTAACCTCACATCAAAAACACAACAAATACAAAAAAAATTAAAAAGCAAGGAATTAAATTATACCACCACATTCACTTTTACTAAAAAAAGACAGGAAGGAAGAAAAGACCATAAAACAACCAGAAAAAGAAATAACAAAATGGCAGGATAAGTCTTTGCTCATCAATAACAACATTGAATGCAAATGGGCTAACTTTTCAATTGAAAGGCACGAGGGGCTGAATGGATGAAAAAGCAAGACCCAATGTTCTATTGCCTACAAGTAAAACATATCACCTATAAAGATACACATAGACTGAAAATAAAGGAATGGAAAAAGGTATTCCATGGCAATGGAAACCAAAAAAGAGCAGGAGTAGCTCTTCTTATACCAGACAAAACAGATTTCAAGACAATAATTGTAAGATACAAAGAAGATCATTATATAATGATAAAAAGGTCAATTCAGCAAGAGGATATAACAACTGTAAACATATATACACCTAATGTTGGAGAACTCAGATACATAAAGCAAATATTATTAGAGCTAAAGAGAGATATAGACCTAAACTAATAATAGCTAGAGACTTCAACACCTCCCTTTCAGCATTGGGAAGACCTTTCAGACTGAAAATCAACAAGGAAAAATCGAATTCCATCTGCATTATAGAACAAATGGCTCTAACAGATATTTACAGAACATTTAAGACAATGGTTACAGAATACATATTCTTTTCCTTTGCACATAGATCATTCTCAAGGATAGATCACATGTTAGGTCACAAAACAAGTCTTAAAACATTCAAAACAATTCAAATAATATCAGGCATTTTTCCTGACCACAATGGAATAAAACCAGAAATCAATACAAGAGGAATTTTGCAAACTATGCAAACACATGGAAATTAAACAACGTGCTTCTAAGTGACCAGTGGGTCAATGAAGAAATTAACAAGGAAATTGAAAAAATTTCTTGAAACAAATTATAATGGAAACGTAACATACCAAAACCTATGGGATACAGCAAAACCAGTGCTAAGAGGGAAGTTTATAGCTATAAGTGCCTACATCAAAAAAGAAAAACTATAAATAAATACTTAATGATACATCTTAAAGGACTAGAAAAGTAAGAACCAATGAAACCCAAAATTAATAGAAGAAAATAAAGATTAGAGCAAAACTCAATGACTTTGAAAGGAAGAAAACAATTTAAAAGACCAACAAAAGAAAAAGTTGTTTTTTTAAAGATAAACAAAACTAACAAACCTTTAGCCAGACTAAGAAAAAAATATAATAAAAGATGCAAAAGGAGACATTAAAACTGATACCACAGAAATTCAAAAGGTCATTAGTAGCTACTGTGAGCAACGGTATGGCAACTGTATGAACTAATTTACAAATTAGAAAATCTAGAGGAACTAGATAAATTCCTAGACACATACAACCTATAAAGGTTGAACCGTGAAGAATCCAAAACCTGAACAGACCAATAACAAGTAACAAGATCAACACTGTAATAAAATGTCTCCCGGGGTAAGGCCAAGGTGGCCGACAAGAAGCAGTCCCATTTGGAGGCTCTCCTTGAAAAAAAACCATAATAAGTATGTGAATCCTTCACCAGCAACCAAGGTATCCAGGTTTTCTCATGAAAATTGAATAGAAGGCTGGCATGACCCACAGAGAGAAGGAAGAGCAGTGTGGTGCAGCAGCCCACCTGAGAACCACAAGAGGAAGATGACCCCTCACCCCCAGCCAAGGGAGGTGGTGAGTGAGCACGCTACCTAGCCGGGGAAACTGTGGCTTTTTCCACAGAACTGTGCAACCCAGGGATTGGAAGTTCCCACTCGCGTACCCACGCCACCAGGACCTAGCATCCCAACCCTGGAACACACAGATTCTTACAGTCTCTCAGCTGAAATCTGCTTAAGCCTACGGAACTCCCAGGGGGAGGGATGACCACAACCAAGCCACTGGCTGTGGCTGCCTGCTATCTAAGCCATTTGTGCTCCTTGGGGGAGGGGCAGCAGCTAGCACTGAGAATAACACACTAACACGCTACTGCCTAACATGCTAAGCTCCTTGAGCCAGGGAAGGGTGGCACCCATATCTATAGCTCCAGGCTGCACTTTTCCCCTGCTGGAGCCAGGAAGCCTGGATGGCTTTGTCCTAAGACTTATCCCCACAGCCAACACACCAGTTGTGGCAGTCTGTGGCCAGAGTGCCTCTTCAGTTATAATTCTGACCCATCCTTCCTCAGTGGATGGAGATTCCCTGTAGGATCTCCAATAACTCCAGCCAGAGGCTCAAGGACAGAATTTAAATCTCCCTTGGCTTGAGCCCCTAGAGGGAGGGATGGTCGCAGTCTCTCTGCACCAGCAGACTTAGCCTTTCCTCCTGGTAGTTCTGAGAAATGCAGACAGCCCAGATGAGTAGGATTTCCCCCAGCAAAACACACCCTCTCCACCAAGGGACAAAGTGCTTCATTAAATGGGTCCTGCTCCCCATGCCACCCAAATGGGTGAAAACCTCCAACAGGGGTTGTCAGACACCCTATACAGGAGCAATCCTACTGGCATCAGGTTGGTTGTCCTCAAGGTCAGAGGTCCCAGAAGAAGGAGCAAGCACCCATCTTTGCTGCTATCCAGCCTCCTTGAGTGGCATCTCCAGGCACAGGAGCAAATCAGATGAATAGAGTTTGAAGTGAACCCTCAGCAAACTGCAGCAGCCCTACAGAAGAGGGACCTGACTGTTGAAACAAAAACAAACAAAAAGCAACAACAGCAGCATCAACAACAACAACAAAAACGGCCCCCATAAAAACCCTATCCAGGGGTCAGCAGCCTCAAAGACCGAAACTAGACAAACTCATGAAGATGAGAAAGAATCAATGAAAAAAATGCTGAAAACCCAAAAGGCCAGAGTGCCTTTTCTCCTCCAAATGATCACAATGTCTCTCCATGAAGGGCGCAGAACAACAGGGCAGAGGATCAGGTGGACGAATTCACAGAAGTAGGCTTCAGAAGATGGGTAATAAAAAACTATGATGAGCTAAAGGAGCATGTTCTAACCCAATGCAAAGAAGTTAAGAACCTTGATAAAAGGTTACAGGAATTGCTAAATAGAATAACCAGTTTAGAGAGGAAGATAAATGACCTGATGGAGCTAAAATATACAGCATGAGAACTTCGTGAAGCATAGACAAGTATCAAAGCCAAAACTGACAAAGTGGAAGAAAGGAATCAGAGTTTGAAGACCACCTTACTGAAATAAGACATGAAGACAAGAATAGAGAAAAAAGAATGAGAAGAAATGAACAAAGCCTCCAAGAAATATACAACTTCTTAAAAAAACGAAACCTACGATTGATTGGAGTACCTGAAGGAGATGGAGAGAATGGAAACAAGCTGAAAACTTCAGGATATTATCCAGGAGAACGTCCTCAACCTAGTAAGACAGGCCAACATGCAAATTCAGGAAATACAGAAAACACTATTAAGATACTCCATGAGAAAATCAACCCCAAAACACATAATCATTAGATTCTCCAAGGTCAAAATGAAGGAAAAACTGTTAAGGTCAGCTAGAGAGAAAGGCCAGGTCACATACAAAGGGAAGCCCATCAGACTAACAGTGGACCTCTCAGCAGAAACTCTACAAGCCAGAAAAGATTAAGGGCCAATATTCAACATTCTTAAATTAAAGAATTTTCAACCCAGAATTCCCAGTGAAATATCCAGCCAAACTAAGCTTCATAAGTGAAGGAGAAATAAAATCCTCTCCAGACAAGCAAATCCTGAGGGATTTCCTTACCACCAGGCCTGCCCTTCAAGAGCTCATGAAAGAAGCATTAAATATGGAAAGGAAAAACCAGTACCAGCCACTGCAAAAACACAACAAAATATAAAGACCAATGACACTACACAGAAACTGCATCAACTGGTGTGCAAAATAACCAAATAGCATCATGATGACCAGATCAAACTCAAACATAACAATATTAACCTTAAATGTAAATGGGCTAAATGCTCCAATTAAAAGACAGACTGGCAAACCGGATAAAGAGTCAAGACCCATTGGTGGGCTGTATTCAGGAGACCCATTTATGTGCAAAGACACACACAGCTCAAAATAAAGGGATGGAGAAAAATTTGCCAAGCAAATGGAAAGCGAAAAAAGGCAGGGATTGCCATCATAATCTCTGACAAAACAGACTTTAAACCAACAAAGATCAAAAAAAAAAAAAAACAAAGAAGGGCACTACACAATGGTAAAGAGATCAATTCAACAAGAAGAGGTAACTGTTCTGAATATATATGCACCCAATACAGGGGCACCCAGATTCATAAAGCAAGTTCTTAGAGACCTACAAAGAAACTTAGACTCCCACACAATAATAATAGGAGATTTTAACAACCCATCGTCAGTATTAGACAGATCAATGAGACAGAAAATTTAAAAGAAGATGCAGGACTTGAACTCAGCTCTGGATCAAGTGGACCTATTAGAGGTCTACAGAATTCTCTACCCTAAATCAACAGAATACACCATTCTTCTCAGTGCCATATGGCACTTATTCTAAAATCAACTACATCATTGGAAGTAAAACACTGCTCAGCAAATGCAAAAGAATGGAAATCATAACAAACAGTTTCTCAGAACACAGTGCAATCAAATTAGAACTCAGGATTAAGAAACTCAATCAAAACCACACAATTTCATGGAAATTGACAATTTCCTCCTGAATGACTCCTGGGAAAATAATGAAATTAAGGCAGAAATCAAGAAGTTCTTTGAAACCAATGACAACACAGAAACAACATACCAGAATCTCTGGGACACAGCTAAAGTAGTGTTAAGAGGGAAATTTATAGTACTAAATGCCATATCAGAAAGCTAGAAAGATCTCAAATCAACACCCTAATATCACAATTAAAGAGCTAGAGAGACAAGAGCAAACTAATCCAAAAGCTAGCAGAAGACAATAAATAACTATGATTAGAAAAGAACTGAAGGAGATAGAGACACGAAAAACCCTCCAAAAAAATCAATGAATCCAGGAGCTGTTTGTTTTAAAAAAAAAATAGTAAAACAGATAGACTGCTAGCTACACTAATAAAAAAGAAGAGAGAGAATAATCAGATAAACACAATAAAAAATGATAAAGGGGATATCACCACTGACCCCAAAGAAACACAAACTACCATCAGAGAATACTATAAACACCTCTATGCAAATAAACTAGAAAATCTAGAAGAAATGGATAAATTCCTAGATGCATAAACCCTACTAAGACGAAACAAGGAAGAAGTTGAATCTGTGATTAGACCAATAACCAGTTCTGAAATTGAGGCAGTAATTAATAGCCTACCAAACACAAAAAGCCCAGGACCAGATGGATTCACAGCTGAATTCTACAAGAAATACAAAGAGGAGCTACTACCATTCCTTCTGAAACTATTCCAAACAATAGAAAAAGGGGGACTCCTCCCTAACTCATTTTATGAAGCCAGCATCATCCTGATACCAATACCAGGAAGAGACACAACAAAAAAAAGAAAATTTCAGGCCAATATCCCTGATGAACATCAATGCAAAAATCCTCAATAAAATACTGCCAAACCAAATCCAGCAGCACATCAAAAAACATCCACCATGATCAAGTTGGTTTCATCCCTGGGATGCAAGACTGGTTCAACATACTCAAATCAATAACTATAATCCATAACATAAACAGAACCAATGACAAAAACCACATGATTATCTAAATAGATGCAGAAAAGGTATTTGATAGAATTCAGCATCCCTTCATGTTAAAAATTCTCAATAAATTAGGTACTGATTGAACATATCTCAAAATAATAAGACCTATTTATGACAAACCCACAGCCAATATCATATTGAATGGGCAAAAGCTAGAAGCATTCCCTTTGAAAACGGGTACAAGTATGCCCTCTATCCCAATAATTATTCAACATAATATTGGAAGTTCTGGCCAGGGAAATCAGGTGAGAGAATGAAATAAACGGTACTCAAATTGGAAGAGAGGAAATCAAGTTGTCTCTGCTTGCAGATGACATAATTGTATATTTAGAAAGCCCCATCATCTCAGCCCAAAATCTCCTTAAGCTGATAAGCAACTTCAGCAAAGTCTCAGAATACGAAATCAATGTGCAAAAATCACAAGCATTCTTATACACCAATAATAGAGAGCCAAATCATGAGTGGATGCCCATTCACAATAGCTACAAAGAAAATAAAATACCTAGGAATACAGCTAACAAGGGATGTGCAAGACCTCTTCAAGAAGAGCTACAAACCACTGCTCAAGGAAATAAGAGAGGACACAAACAAATGGCAAAACATTCCATCCTCATGGATAGGAAGAATCAATATCATGAAAATGGCTATAGTGCCCAAAGTAATTTATAGATTCAACGTTATTCCCATCAAACTACCATTGACAGTCTTCACTGAATTAGAAAAAACTATTTTAAATTTCATATGAAATCAAAGAAGACCCCATATAGCTAGGACAATCCTAAACAAAAAGATCAAAGCTGGAGGCATCACGCTATCTGACATCGAACTATACTACAGGGTTACAGTAACCAAAACAGCATGGTACTGGTACAAAACAGACATATAGACCAATGAAACAGAACAGAGATCTCAGAAATAACACCACATATCTATAACCATCTGACCATCAATGAAACTGACAGAAACAAGTAATGGGGAAAGGATTTCCTATTCAGTAAATGGTGCTGGGAAAACTGGCTAGCCATAGGCAGGAAAATGAAACTGGACGCCTTCCTTACACCTTATACAAAAATTAACTCAAGATGGATTAAATACTTAAATGTAATACACAAAACCATATAAACTCTAGAAGAAAACCTAGGAAATATTATTCAGGACATTGGCATGGTCAAAGACCATGACAAAAACACCAAAAGCAATTGCAACAAAAGCCAAAATTGACAAATGGGATCTAATTAAACTAAAGAGCTTCTGCACAGCAAAAGAAACTACCCTCAGAGTGAATAGGCAACCAACAGAATGGGAGAAAATTTTTGCAATCTACCCATCTGACAAAGGCCTAATATCCAGAATTTACAAGGAACTTAAACATATTTACAAGAAAAAGCAAACAACCCCATCAAAAACTGGGCAAATGATATGAACAGACACTTCTCAAAAGAAGACATTTACTTGGCCAACAAACATAAAAAAAAAAAAGCTTAATATCACTGATCACCAGAGAAATGCAAATCTAAACCACAATAAGACACACCAGTTAGAATGGTGATCAATAAAAAGTCAGGAGAGGAAACAATAGATGTTGGCAAGGCTGTGGAGAAACAGGAATGCTTTTATACTGTTGGTGGGAAGTAAATGAGTTCAACATTGTGAAAGACAGTATGGCGATTCCTCAAGGATGTAGAATCAGAAATACCACTGGACCCAGCAATCCCATTTCTGGGATTATAAATCATTCTACCATATAAATCATTCTACTACAGGAATGATTTATATAGTAGAAGGGATATAAATCATTCTACTATAAAGACACATGCACAGGTATGTTTATTGCAGCACTATTTACAATAGCAAAGACATGGAACTAACCCAAATGCCCATCAACGATTGAATGGATAAAGAAAATGTGGTACATATACACCATGGAATACTATGCAGCCATAAAAAAGAATGAGATCACGTTCTTTGCGGGGACATGGGTGAAGCTGGAAGCTATCATCCTGACTAAACTAACACAGGAACAAAAAACCAAACACCACATATTCTCACTCATAAGTGGAGCTGAACATTGCGAACACGTGGACACAGAGAGGGGAGCAGCACACACAGGGGCCTGTTGGGATGTGGGCGGTGAGGGGAGGGAACTTAGAGGATGGGTCAATAGGTACAGCAAACCACTCTGGCACATATATACCTACGTAACAAACCTGCAGGTTCTTCGCATGTATTTCATTTTTTGTTTTTGGTTTTTTGGTTTTTTAGAAGAAATAAAGAAAAAAAAGTTCTCCTAGCTAAGAAAAGCCCAGGTCCTGATGGCTTCAATGCTGAATTCTACCAAACATTTACAGTAGAAATAATACCAATTCTACTCAAACTTTTCCGAAAAGTATAGAAGGAGGGGATACTTCCAAATGCATTCTACAAGCCCAGTATTACCCTGATACCAAAATCAGACCATATCAAGAAAAGAAAACTATAGGCCAATATCTCTCATGAGCATTGAAGCAAAACTTCTCAGCAAAATACTGGCAAACTGAATTAAACAATTCATTAAAAAGATAATTTATCATGACCAAGGGGACTTATCCCAGAAATGCAAGGTTGGTTCAATTTACATGAATCAATAAATGTGGTACATCATATCAACAGAATGAAGGACAAAAAACCATATGATCATATCAATTGATGCTAAAAAAATTTGATAAAATTTGACATCCTTTCATGATAGAAACTCTCAAAAAACTGCATATAGAAGGAACATACTTCAACATAATAAAAAGATATATATGAAAAACATACAGCTAGTATCATACTGAATAAAAGAAAACTGAATGCCCTTCCTCTGAGATGTGGAACAGAATAAGGATGCTAATTTTCACCACTGTTACTCAATATAGCACTGGAAGTCCTAGGTTTAGCAGGCAAACAACAGAAAGAAATAAATAGCATCCAAATTAGAAAGAAATCAAATTATCCTTCTTTGCAGAACATAGGATCTTATATTTGGAAAAATCTAAAGACTCTACCCAAAAAAAAACTATTAGAACTGATAAACAAATTCAATAAAGTGGCAGAGTACAAAATCAACATACAAAAATTAGTAGCATCTCTGTATGCCAACACTGAATAATCTGAAAAAGAAATCAAAAAAGGAATCCCACTTACAATATCCACAAATGAAATAAAATGTCAGGAATTAACTTAATCAACAAAATAAAAGATTTCTTCAATGAATGCTGTAAAACACTGATGAAAGAAATTGAAGGACACACACGCACACACAAAACAGAAAGATATTTCATGTTCATGGATTGGAAGAATCAATACTATTAAAATTTCCATACTGCCCAAAGCAGTCTACAGATTCAATTCAATCCCTGTCAAAATACCAATGACATTCACAGAAATAGAAAAAACTATCCTAAAACTTAAATGGAACCACAAAAGTCCTGGAATAGCCAAAGCTATCTTGAGCAGAAAGAACAAAACTGAAGAAATCACTTTACTTGACTTCAAATAATACTATTTAGCTATAGTAATTAAAACAGCATGGAAATTGCATAAAAACAGACACATAGACTAATGGAATGGAATAGAGAACCCACAAACAAGTCCAAACACTTTCACTGAACTCATTTTTTATAAAGGTGTCAAGAACATATATTGGGGAAACAACAGTCTCTTCAATACATGGTGCTAGGAAAATTTAATATCCATATGCAGAAGAATGAAATTGGACCTCTATCTCTTGTCACATACAAAAATAAAATCAAAATGGATTAAAGACTTAACTTGAAGACATTAATCTAAAGACTTAAATCTAAGACCTTCTTAAACTATGAAACTACTACAAGAAAACATTGGAAAAACTCGCCAAGATATTGGTCAAAAATTTCTTGAGTAACACCCCACAAACGACTGGCAACCAAAGCAAAAATAAACAAATGAGATCATATTAAGTTAAAATACTTCTGCACAGCAAAGGATACAATCAACTGAGTGAAGAGATAACTCACAGAATAGGATAAAATATTTGCAAACTATGCATCTGCAAGAGAATAATAACCAGAATATATAAGAAACTCAAATGACTTTGTAGGAAAAATATCTAATAATCTAATTTTTAAATGGGCAAAAGATTTGAATCTCAAAAGAAGACATACCAATGGAAAATGAGCATATGAAAAGATGCTCAACATCATTGATTATCAGATAAATGCAAATCAAAACTGCAATGAGATATCTTCTCACCCCAGTTAAAATGCCTTTTATCCAAACATGGGCAATAACTAATGCTGGAGAGGGTGTGGAGAAAAGGGAAACCTTGTGTACTGTTGGTTAGAATATAAATGAGTAAAACCAATTTGGAGGGGAGTTTGGAGATTCCTCAAAAAGACAAAAATAGACATACCATCCAATCTAGCAATGCCACTGCTGAGTATACACCCAAAAGAAAGAAAATCAGTATATCTAAGAGATATTTGCACTCCCATGTTTGCTGCAGCACTGTTCAAAATTGCCAGGATTTGGAAACAACAAAAGTGTTCATCAACCAATGATTGGATAAAGAAAATGTGGTACATATACACAAGCGAGTACTATGCAGCCATACAAAAGAATGAGATCTTGTCATATGCAACGACATGAATGGAACTGGAGGTCATTATGTTAAGTAAAGTAAGTCAAGCACAGAAAGACAAACTGTGCATGTTCTCACTTATTTGTGCAAACTAAAAATCAGAACAATTAAACTTATGGAGACAGAGAATAGAAGGATGGTTACCAAAGGCTGGCAGGGGTAGTGGGAAAAAGCTGGGGAGAAGTGGAAATGGTTAGTGGATACAAAAAAAACAGAAAGACTAAATAAGAGCTAGTATTTCATAGCACAACAGATTGACTACAGTCAATAATAATTTAATTGCACATTTTTAAATAACTAAAAGAGTATAATTGATACCAAAAAATAGTTAGAGATAATGAATAAGACCTATTATTTCATAGCACAACAGAGTGATCATACTGAGTAATAATTCAATTGTGCATTTTAAAATAACTAAAAGCATATAATTGATACAAAAAAGTTAGGAAGATGAATAAGACCTAGGATTTCATAGCACAACAGAGTGACTATAGTCAATAATAATTTAATTAGACATTTTAAAATAACTAAAAGAGATAATTTGATTGTTTGTAACAAAAAGGATAAATGCTTGAGGGGATGAATATTTTCTATGATGTGATTATTACACATTGAATGCCTGTATCAAAACATCTCATGTCCCATATAAATATATACTATTACGTACCCACACAAAGTAAACATTGATTTTTTTAAATGTGAACAAATTTGATAGGAATAAAAAAGAATACTCAATGTCATGGCCACTAGGTCAACTGAAAATATTCTATAGGTAGATTTGGCTCTGTTAATTGGTATGTCTGATTAATTTTAAACCAAAACTTATGTTGAAAGAATACAAAATCCCTCTGCATTTATAAATATCGATATCTTGTGATTCATCTTGTGCATGGGTCAATATAGGTAAGCTATACACAGTACGACAGTACATCTGCTTTCCTTTGGTCTTTCCTGGGCTATCTGGGAAGGCAAATAGGTGGGAAGGTTAAATTGATTTGTAAAAGGTAAGATTGATAGAGAAAATATTGAAATTGTACTTATTTAACTAATATTTATTGAATACCTACTATGTGTCAGAGTATGATTCAGCATTAGTTCACCAAAACATTTGGGGTTCCTCCTGGCACTTTTTTTTTTTTAGCTCTTGGCATAGTACCTTGTATGATGTAGATCTCCAATTAGAATTGAATGAATTAATGAAGGAGATAAAACAGTGGGGTTCTTAATGCCTTCCATAGAGAAAAATCAACAGAGATAGCACTGCTTCTTAAAGATGATGGGGTTCAGGAGGGTCTACCCCAAAATGTGGCACCTTGGCATTTGAAAACACATCAGAAGCCAAAAAGTCATTTTTACCTTCCCCGAGCCATTCTTTCCTGAAGCAAGTGATAAAACCTAAAAAGGATTTTCTGAATTTCTTCAGAAGCAGGTCACAAGACACTTATTGAAGAGTTACCCTACCTATGCCTGGAGGAAAGAAACATTCTTACCTCTGAAGACACAGAGTCACAGAGACAAATCTGAATAAACAAGTCTTGCTAAGTACCCCCCAGTTTATTGCCATTTTAATCATACTTTTTTACCCAATTATACTGTTCCACAACTGTCGATTTCTTCATGAAACCTACCACAAAACAATACATTGGCTTAAAAAATACACTGGTTTATCCATTTCTTTGAGTCTTCATTTCCTTATGAAGCCTCCTGTGTCATGTAAAGCGTATTAAATACACATGTATACTTTTCTCTTATTAATCTGTCATTTGTTATCAGGACTGCCACAATGAACCTAGCAATGAGTGAAGGAAAATATTTTATCTTCCCCTGTGAGGATAATATCATTTATCAAACTCAAGTTTTTATTTAAATTTTGAAAGTATATTATATGTAAAATATACTAGAGCCTGTATATTATCTAATCTCTATTTTACTTAACGATTTAGATTTTGTTCTGAAATCCGCTATTCTATTAATGATAACATTATATGGGAATAAATAGAATTTAACATGCCTAGGATAAGTTAAAGATGTGATGACAGACATTGATTATAAGTGGTGTTTAAAAAACATTATGGGCTCATGACATGTTTGAATCCACATAGTAAGAAAGATCTACTACAGGCATTTCCGGTTGGCTGAGCAGCACACGTGCCCCCGGAAGGGAAATAACATCAGCTCGGAGAATTCAGTAGATGTACTGTGTGGCGCCGTGGTCTAGGCACTTCTTGGACAGCATGTCTCACCTGCTGATGAAACTCCTGTGCAAGAAGATTTAGAAGCAGAACCTCAAATTGCGGCAGCGGAACCTAAAGTTGCAGGGGGCCTCAAATCTGACCCTATCAGAAACTCAAAATGGAGATGTGTCTGAAGAAACAATGGGAGATGGAAAGGTTAAAAAATCAAACATTCTATGAATGTGGGCTTATCAGAAGCTCAAAGTGGAGATGTGTCTCAAGAAGCAGTGTAAAATATAAAAGTTAAAAAATCTCCCCAGAAATCCACTGTATTAACCAACGGAGAAACAGCAATGCAGTCTCCCAATCCAGAATCAAAAAAGAAGAAGAAAAAAAGAAAAATGATGAATGATGCTGGGCCTGATACAAAAAAAAAGCAAAAACTGAAAACAAAGGGGAATCTCAAGAAGAAAGTGCCAAGAATCCTAAAGAAACAGAAAATAATGTGGAGAAGCCAGATAATGATGAAGATGACAGTGAGGTGCCCAGCCTGCCCCTGGGACTGACAGGAGCTGTTGAATATACTTCATTTGCTTCTCTGTATAATCTTGTCAATGAAAACACTCTGAAGGCAATAAAAGAAATGAGTTTTACAAATATGACGGAAATTCAGCATAAAAGTATCAGACCACTTCTGGAAAGCAGGGATCGTCTAGCAGCTGCAAAAACAGGAAGTGGTAAAACCCTGGCTTTTCTTATCCCTGCAGTTGAACTCATGGTTAAGTTAAAGTTCATGCCCAGGAATGGAATAGGAGTCCTTATTCTCTCACCTATTGGAGAACTAGCCATGGAAACTTTTGGTGGTTCTTAAGGAGCTAATGACTCACCACGTGCATACCTATGGGTTGATAATGGGTGGGAGTAACAGATCTGCTGAAGCATGGAAACTTGCTAATGGGATCAACATCATTGTGGCCACATCAGGCCGTCTGCTGGACCATATGCAGAATACCCCAGGGTTTATGTATAAAAACCTGCAGTGTCTGGTTATTGATGAAGCTGATCGTATCTTGGATGTTGGGTTTGAAGAGGAGTTAAAGCAAATTATTAAACTTTTGCTAACTCATAGACAGACTATGCTCTTTTCTGCCACCCAAACTCAAAAAGTTGAAGACCTGGCAAGGATTTCTTTGAAAAAGGAGCCGTTTATGTTGGTGATGATGATGATAATGCTAATGAAACAGTGTATGGTCTTGAGCAAGGATATGTTGTTTGTCCTTATGAAAACAGATTCCTTCTGCTCTTTACATTCCTTAAGAACTGAAAGAAGAAGCTTATGGTCTTCTTTTCATCTTGTATGTCCATGAAATACCACTGTGAGTTGCTGAACTACATTTATTTGCTCATCTTGGCCATTCATGAAAAGCAAAAGCAAAGTAAGCATACAACCACATTCTTCCAATTCTCCAGCGCAGATTTGGGAACACTATTGTGCACAGATGTGGCAGCAAGAGGACTGGACATTACTGAAGTGGACTGCATTGTTCAGTATGACCCTCCGGATGACCCTAAGGAATATATTCATAGTGTGGGTAGAACAGCCAGAGGCCTAAATGGGAGAGAAAATTGGGTTTTCTTTGCTACTTGAAACAATCCAAGGTTCCATTAAATGAATTTCACTTTTCCTGGTCTAAAATTTCTGACATTCAGTCTCAACTTGAGAAACTGATTAAAAAGAATTACTTTCTTCATAAGTCAGCCCAGGAAACATGTAAGTCATACATACAAACCTATGATTCCCATTCTCTGAAACAGATCTTTAATGTTAATAACTTAAATTTTTCTCAAGTTGCTCTGTCATTTGGTTTCAAGGTGCCTCCCTTTATTGATCTGAAAGTCAAGAGCAATGAAGGCAAGCAGAAAAAGCAAGGAGGTGGTGGTGGATTTGGCTACCAAAGTTGAGAAGTCCAAAATCTTTAAACACATTAGCAAGAAATCACCTGATAGCAGGCAGTTCTCTAACTGAAGACATGCCATTCTTTCATCTTGAATAACTTTGTTTTAAAATCAATTATTTCCCCTAGATTCATCAGGATTTTTGTAGCCTTTAGAATTTAAACTTATCTAACATGAGTAAAAATTGACTGGGGTTGCAAGCACTGAGCACTGTTACTTATATCAAGTCTCGCTTCTGTATTGGGATATAAAACAGGCTTTAATTTTCTTGGTTGCCCAAGGACTATCTGGGCTTTCTTGTGATTATATAATATTTTAATTTTAAGTATTTCTCCCTCATACACACAAATGTAAGTTACTGTTTTAATATAATTATTTGTGTACTTTTTCTTCTTGTTTTGTGAAGATTTTTGTGGCATGGATTGCTGTGCTTACTGCTGTAAAAGGTGACCCAGTGTACTGGGCAGCTGGTGGTAATGCAGAAAGGAGTCTCAGGTTATTTTTTTGCTTTTAGTTATTTCTTGAACTTTGACAGTGTCTCATGACTCCTCCTGAAAATATTGCTAGCATCATAATGACAGGATCAAATTCACACATAACAATATTAACCTTAAATGTAAATGGGCTAAATGCCCCAATTAAAAGATATAGACTGGCAAATTGGACAAAGAGCCAAGACCCACCAGTGTGCTGTATTTAGGAAATCTCACGTGCACATCTTAAGTGCAAAGACACACATAAGCTCAAAATAAAGGGATGGAGGAATATTTAACAAGCAAATGGAAAGCAAAAAAAAAAAAAAAAAAAAAAAAAAAAAAGCAGGGGTTTCAATCCTAGTCTCTGATAAAACATAATTTAAACCGACAAAGATTAAAAAAAAAAACAAAGAAGGGCACTACATAATGGTAAAGGGATCAATGCAACAAGAAGAGCTAACTATCCTAAATATGTGTGCACCCAATACAGGAGCACCCAGATTCATAAAGCAAGTTCTTAGAGACCCACATAGATACTTAGACTACCAAACAATAATAGTGGGAGACTTTAACCCCCGACTGTCAATATTAGATAGATCAATGAGACAGAAGATTAACAAGGATATTCCAGACTTTAACTCAGCTCTGGACCAAGCAGAACTAATAGACATCTACAGAACTCTCTACTCCAAATAGACAGAATATACATTCTTCTCAGTATCACATTGCACATCTTCTAAAATTGACCACATATTTGGAAGTAAAACACTCCTCAGAAAATGCAAAATAATGGAAATCATAAGAAACAGTCATTCGGACCACAGTGCAATCAAATTAGAACTCAGGATTAAGAAACTCACTCAAAACCACACAACTACATGGAAACTGAATAACTTGCTCCCGAACGACTACTGGGTAAATAACAAAATGAAGGCAGAAATAAATAAGTTCATTGAAACCAGTGAAAACAAAAACACAACATACCAGAAACTCTGGGACACAGCTGAAGCAGTGTTTAGAGGGAAATTTATAGCACTAAATGCCCACAAGAGAAAGCAGGAAAGATCTAAAATTGACACCCTAACATCACAATTAAAAGAACTAGAGAAGCAAAAGCAAATAAATTCAAAAGCTAGCAGAAGGCAAGAAATAACTAAGATCAGAGCAGAACAGAAGGAGACAGAGACATGAAAGACGCTTCAAAAAATCAATGAAACCAGGAGCTGGTTTTCTAAAAAGAACAACAAAATAGTACACCACTAGCCAGACTAATAAAGAAGAAAACAGAGAAGAATCAAATAGAAATAATAAAAAATGATAAAGGGGATATCACCACTGATCCCACAGAAATACAAACTACCATCAGAGAATAGTATAAACATGTATATGCCAATAAACTAGAAAATCTGGAAGAAATGGATAAATTCCTGAACACATACACCCACCCAAGACTAAATAAGAAAGAAGTCGAATCCCTGAATAGACAAATAACAAGTTCTAAAATTGAGGCAGTAATTAATAGCCCATCAAACAAACAAACAAAAAAGCCCAGGACCAGATTGATTCACAGCCTAATTCTACCAGAGGTACAAAGAGGAGCTGGTACCATTCCTTCTGAAACTATTCTAAACAATAGAAAAAGAGGCACTCCTCTCTAACTCATTTTATGAGGCCAGCCTCATCCTGATACAAAAACCTGGCAGAGAAACAACAAAAAAAGAAAATTACAGGCCAATATCCTTGATGAACATTGATGCAAAAATCCTCAATAAAATACTGGCAAACTGAATCCAGCAGCACCTCAAAAAGCTTATCCACTATGATCAAGTCAACTTCATCCCTGGACTGCAAGACTGGTTCAACATATGCAAATCAGTAAATGTAATCCATCACATAAACAGAACCAACAACAAAAACCACATGATTATTTCAATAAATGCAGAAAAGGCCTTCAATAAATTTCAACAGCTCTTCATGCTAAAAACTCTCAATAAACTACATATTGATGGAATATCTCTCAAAATAATAAGAACTATTAATGACAAAGCCACAGCCAATAACATACTGAATGGGCAAAAACTGGAAGCATTCCCTTTGAAAACCGGCACAAGACAAAGACGCCCTCTGTCACCACTCCTATTCAACATAGTATTGGAACTTATGGCCAGGGCACTCAGGCAAGAGAAAGAAATAAAGTGTTTTCAAATAGGAAGAGAGGGAGTCAAATTTTCTCTGTTTGCAGATTACATGATTGTATATTTAGAAAACCCCATTGTCTCAGCCCAAAATCTCCCTAAGCTGATAAGCAACTTCAGCAAAATCTCAGGATAAAAAATCAATGTGCAAAAATCACAGGCATTCCTACACACCAATAATAGACAAACAGAAAGCCAAATCATGAGTGAAAGCACATTCACAATTGTTACAAGAAGAATAAAATACATAGGAATACAACTTACAAGGGATGTGAAGGACCTCTTCAAGGAGAACTACAAACCACTTCTCAAGGAAATAAGACAGGACACAAATGGAAAAAATTCCATGCTCATGGGTAGGAAGAATCAATATCATGAGAATGGCCATAATGTCTGAAGTAATTTATAGATTCAATGCTATCTTCATCAAGCTACCATTGACTTTCTTCACAGAATTAGAAAAAAAACTACTTTAAATTTCATATGGAATGAAAAAAGAGCCTGCACAGGCAAGACAATCCTAAGCAAAAAGAACTAAGCTGGAGGCATCAGGCTACCTGACTTCAAACTATACTGCAAGGCTACAGTAACCAAAACAGCATGGTACTGGTACCAAAACAGATATATAGACCAATGAAACAGAACAGAGGCCTCTGAAAAAACACCACACATCTACAATCATCTGATCTTTGACAAATCTGACAAAAACAAGCAATGGGGAAAGGATTCCCTATTTAATAAATGGTGTTAGGAAAACTGACTAGCCATATGCAGAAAACTGAAATTGGACCCCTTCCTTACATCTTATACAAAAATTATACACAATTTTTATATATTATTAAAGGTGGATTATTTTGTATATGTATTAAGATTATTTTGTGTATTATTAAAGATGGATTAAAGACTAATCCTTTTGTATAAGGTGTAAGGAAGGATTCAAGACGGATTAAAGACTTAAACATAAGACCTAAAACCATAAAAACCTGAGAAGAAAACCTAGGCAATACCATTCAGGACATAGGTGTGGGCAAAGACTTCATGACTAACACACCAAAAGAAATGGCAACAAAAAATATTGACAAATGGGACCTAATTAAACTAAAGAGCTTCTGCACAGCAAAAGAAAATCATCAGAGTGAACGGGCAACATACAGAATGGGAGAAAATTTTTGCAATCTATCCTTCTGTCCCAATATCCAGAATCTACAAAGAATCTAAACAAATTTACAAGAAAAAGATGAACAACCCCATCAAAAATTGGGTGAAGGATATGAACAGACACTTCTCAAATGAAGATATTTATGCAGCCAACAAACATATGAAAATATGCTCATCATGTCCTTTGTAGGGACATGGATGAAGCTGGAAACCATCATTCTCAGCAAACTATCACAAGGACAAAAAACCAAACATCGCATGTTCTCACTCATAGGTGGGAAATGAACAATGAGAACACTTGGACACAGGAAGGGGGACATCACACACTGGGGCCTGTTGTGGGGTTGGGGGAGGGGGGAGGGATAGCATTAGGAGATATACCTAATGTAAATGATGAGTTAATGGGTGCAGCACAGCAACATGGCACATGTATACATATGTAATAAACCTGCACGTTGTGCACATGTACCCTAGAACTTAAAGTATAATAAAAAATAAAAAAAAAGAAAATATGTTCATCATTACTGGTCATTAGAGAAATGCAAATCAAAACCACAATGAGATACCATCTCATGTCAGTTAGAATGGTGATCATTAAAACATCAGGAAACAACAGATGCTGAAGAGGATGTGAAGAAATAGGAAGGCTTTTACACTGTTGGTGGGAGTGTAAATTAGTTCAACCATTGTGGAAGACAGTGTGGTGATTACTCCAGGATATAGAACCAGAAATACCATTTGAACCAGCAATCCCATTACTGAGTATATACTCAAAGGATTATAAATCATTCTACCATAAAGACACATGCACATTTATGTTTATCGCAGCACTATTCACAGTAGCAAATACTTGGAACCAACCCAAGTGCCCATCAATGATAGAATGGATAAAGAAAATGTGGCATATATACAACATGGAATACTATGCAGCCATAAAAAAGGATGAGTTCATGTCCTTTGCAGGGACATGGATGAAACTGGAAGCCATCATTCTCGGCAAACTAACACAAGGACAGAAAACCAAACACCACATGTTCTCACTCATAAGTGGTAGTTGAACAATGAGAACACATGGACACAGGAAGGGGAACATCATACACTGGTGCCTGTTGGGGGGTGGGGTGCTAGGGGAGTGATAGCATTAGGAGAAATACCTAATGTAGATGACAGGTTGATGGGTGCAGCAAACCACCATGGCACGTGTATACCTATGTAACAAACCTGCACATTCTGCACATGTATCTCAGAACTTAAAGTATAATAAAAAATAAAAAGAAAAAAGAAAGATCTACAAAGCCTAAAATACACTCATGAAAATAAATTATATACATATTTATCTCTCACATATGAAATAAGAGATAATCTTTATTGTCATTTTAAACATTTTATTGATTAATGTTCAGCAAAGAAAATTGAATGAATCATCTCGAATATGAGTGAAGCATAGAGGTTGAAAAATACACTATGTCTTCTGTGAAAGGAGAGACAAGAAGTTCTATCTGGTTGTGTTTGAACTTCCTATGAAGATCATGATAATCCAATATGCGTCATACAGCCGTGCATTATTTTAATAGTAACATGGTAAATTTTTATTTTCTTTCTGTAACATCTGATATGGACACTGCTATCTCTACTTTATTCTAAGCATAAAGAATTCCTAAAGGACATACTCCTATACGACTAATGGGTAAAAAAAGAAATAAAGAAATTTAAAAATAATTGAGACACACAAAAATAAAAACACATCATTAAAACCAAAACTTATGGGATACAGCAAACGTAATTATAATAAATGCTTGAAGTGATAAATACCCCATTTATCCTGATGTGGTTATTATGTATTTCATGGCTGTATCAAAATATACCATGTACTCCATAAATATATACATCTACTATATATATATATATATATATTTGTGGGTAGTATGTACCCACAAACATTAAACATATAAATAGTTTTAACAGGAAAGTTTATAGTAATAAATTCCTACATAAAAAAGAAAGATGGCTGGGTGTGGTGGCTCATGCCTGTAATCATAGCACTTTGTGAGGCTGAGGTGGGCAGATCACCTGATATTGGGAGTTCTAGACCAGCCTGACCAACATGGAGAAACCCCGTCTCTACCAATAATACAAAAATTAGCCATGCATGGTGGTGCATGTTTGTAATCCCAGCTACTCGGGAGGCTGAGGCACAAGAATCACTTGAACCCAGGAGGTGGAGGTTGCCATAAGGTGAGATCATGCCATTTCACTCCAGTCTGGAGTGAAAAACAAGAGTGAAACTCGAAAGGAAGGAAGGAAGGAAGGAAGGAAGGAAGAAAGAGGAAGAGAGAGAGGAAAGGGAAGCAGAAGGAGGAAGGAAGGAAGGAAGGAAGGAAGGAAGGCAAATAAATAAGTTAGTGTTATACTTCAAGAAACTAGGAAGAAAAAAGAACAAACTAAGCCCAAAGTCAAAAAAGAAAGGAAATAATAAAGATAAAAGAAGAAATAAATGAAATAGAGACTGGATAAACAATAGAAAAGATCAATAAAAAAAGAGTTGGATTTTTTGTAAAGATAAAGTCAGCAAACATTTAGCTAGACTAGAACAAAGAAAGGGAACACTCAAATAACATTTATTTTTGAGATAATGGGGAAGAAACTATTACTGATACCACAGAAATATAGGGATCATAATAGACTACTATCAACAATTATACACCAATAAATTTGATAACTTAGAAAAAATGAATAAATTTCTAGACATATAAAACCTGCAGAGACTAAATCATGATGAAATAGAAAATCTGAACAGACAAATCACAAGTAAGGAGGTGAATCACTAATAAAAAGTTTTGCATCAAATAAAAGACCAGGATCTGGTGGTTTCACTGCTGAATTATACCAAACATTTAAATAATTAATACCAGTTCTTTTCAAATTCTTCCAAAAAGAATTGAAGAGGAAGGAAAGTTTTCAAACTCATTTTATGAGGCCAGCATTACCCTGATACCAAAGCCAGACGAGTATACAAAAAAAAAAAAAAATTACAGGCCAATACCCATGATGAACATAGATGCAAAAATCCTCAACAAAATATTAGCAAAGTGAATTCACCAGCACACTGAAAAGATCATTCACCATGATCAAGTGGGATTTATCTCTGGAATGCAAGCATGGTTCAATTTACATGAATTATTTAAATGTGATACATCACATTAACAGAATGAAAGACAAAACCATATGATTATCTCAACAGATGCAGAAAAGTCATTTGACAAAACTCAATACCTTTTTATGATAAAAACTCTTAACAAATAAGGTATAGAAGGAATGTACCTCAACACAATAAAGACCATATATCACAAACTACAGCTGATATTACATTCAATGATGAAATGTTGAAAGCTTTTCCTCAAAGATCAGGAAAAGGATGCTCATTTTTGCCACTTATATTTAACATAGTAATGGAACTCCTAGATAGAGTTAGGCAAGAGAAAGAATTTTAAAATATCCAAATAGAAAAGAAAAAAGTTAAATTCTCTCCTTTTGCAGATGACAGGATCTTATACATAGAAAACCCAAAAGATTTCAACAACCACCACAAAAAAACTAATAAACAAATTCCATAACATTGAAGGATACAAATTCAACACACAAAAATCAGTATAAAAAATATTCCATGTTCATAGATTGAAATAATAAACATTGTTAAAAAAATTCCATACTACCCAAAGTGATCTATAGATTCAATGTAGATGCTTTGAAAATTCCAATGACATTTCTTACAGAAATAGAAAAAAAAAGTCTAAATTCATATGAAGCCAAGAAAGACCCTGACTAGCCAAAGCAATCTTGAGCAAAAAGAACAAAACTAGAGGCATCATACTACCTGATTTTAAAAGCTACTATAGGCTGGTCACGGTGGCTCATGCCTATAATCCCAACAAGCCAAGAGGACTGCTTGAGCCCAGAATTTCAAGACCTGCCTGGACAACATAATGAGCCCCTATCTCTACAAAAATAAATCAAATGGGCATGATGGCACATGCCTGTAGTCCGGACTACTAGGGAGGCTTGGGTAGGAGAATCACTGGAGCCCAGGAGGTTGAGGGTGCTGTGAGCCCTGTTCATGCCATTGGACTCCAGCCTGGGCAACAGAGTGAGATCCTGTCTCAAAACAAAAAAAAAAGAGAAGAGAGGAGAGGAGAGGAGAGAAGAAATCTACTACAAAATTATAGTAATCAAAACAGCATGGTTTTGGCACAAAAACGAACACATAGACTAATAGAAAAGAATAGAGACCTCAGAAATAAATTCACATATTTACAACTGATTGATTTTCAGCAAAGATACCAAGAAAACACAGTGGGAAAATAAGAGTAACTTCAACAAATGATGCTAAGAAAACTGAATATCCACATGCAGAAGAATAAAATTAGTCCCTCATCTCACACAACATACAAAAATCAACTCAGAATAGATTAAAGACTTAAATGTAAGACCTGAAAATATGAACTTCCTAGAAGAAAATACAGGTGAAACTCTCCCTGACATTGGTCTGGGCAAAGACTTTTTTATATATAATCCCAAAAACAAAGGCAATAAAAGCAAAAATAGACAAATAGGATTCCATCAACCTAAAACGCTTCTAGAAACACAGCAAAGGAGACAATCAACAGTCAAAAGTTAGTGTATGGAGTGAGAGAATATATTTGCAAATCATATGTCTCATAAGGGGTTAATATCCAAAATATATAAGGAACTCAAACAACTCAATAGTAAGAAAACAAATAACCAGATTAAAAATTGAACAAAGGACCTGAGTAGACATTTTGCAAAAGAAGACATATAAATGGCCAACAGATATATTTTTAAAATGCTCAACAGGCTTTACAAAAAATTGTTCAACATCACTAATCTTTTGGGAAATGCTAATTAAAGCCACAAAGAAGAATTCCTTCTCACTTGTTAGAATGGCTAATATAAAAAAAAAAAAAAGATAACAAATGTTGGTAAGTATGTAGAGAAAAGGGAGCCCTTTTACACTGTTGGTAGGAATGTAAATTAGTACAGCCATTATGAAAAACAGGGTGGAGGTTCATCAGGAAATATAAAAATAGAACTATCATATGATCCAGCAATCCCACTGCTAGGTATATACCAAAGGAAATAAAATAAGTGTGTCAGAGATATCTGCACTTCCATGTTTGTTGCAGAACTCTTCACAATAGCCAAGATATGGTATCCACCTAAAAGTGTGTGTGTGTGTGTGTGTGTGTGTGTGTGTGTGTGAATATATATATAGTATTGATGTGTGGTGTATGTGTGTATACATATGTATATGCATATATATGCGTGGTCTGTGTGTGTGTGTATATATATAGAGAGAGAGAGGGAGGGGGGAAGGGGAGATAGATAATATATATTATGCAGTATTTGTCTTTCTTTGACTGACTTATTTCACCTACATAATGTCGTCCAGCTTCATCCATGTTGTTGAAAATGGCAGAATTTCTTTCTTTTTAAAGGATGAATAGTGTTGGAGCATAATATATATACTACATACTAATGGTAGGTGTGTAATATGTATATACACTATATACTAATATACCAATACTATTCAGCCTAGTAATGAAGTATTACTAGGATGAAGTATTACTAGGCTTAAGTATTAAGCCTAGTAATTAAGTATTGTTTCCCTCTATTTATCCATATGTTCTCATCATTTAGCTCCTACTTATAAGTGAAAACATGTGGCATTTGGTTTTCTGTTCTTGTATTAGTTTGCTAACGACAATGGGCTCCGGGTCCATTCATGTCCCTACAAAGGACAAAATCTCATTCCTTTTTAGGGCTGCATAGTATTCCGTAGTGTATATGAACCACTTTTTCTTTATCCAATCTATCATTGGTGGGCATTTAGGTTGATTCCATGTCTTTCCCATTGTGGATAGCACTGCAATGAACATATACATGCATGTGTCTTTATAATAGAACAATTTCTATTTCTTTGAGTATATATCTATGAATGGGACTGCTGGGTTGAATGATGCTTCTGTCCTTAGGTCTTTGATAAATTGCCACACTGTCTTCCACAACGGTTGAACTAATTTACTCCCCCACCAACAGTGTATAAGCATTCCTTTTCTCCACAACCTCACCAGTATCTGTTAATTTTTGACTTTTTATAATAGCCATTCTGACTGGTGTGAGATGGTATCTCATTGTGGTTTTGATTTGCATTTCTCTAATGATAAGTGATGTTGAGATTTTTTTCATGTGCTTATTGACCACATGTATGTTTTCTTTTGAGAAGTGTCTGTTCATGTCATTTGCCCACTTTTAATGGGGTTGTTTTTTCTTGACAATTTGTTTAAGATCCTTATAGATGATGGATAGTAGACCTTTGTCAGATGCATAGTTTGCAAAAATTTTCTTCCATTCTGTAAGTTGTCTGTTTACTCTGTTGATAGTTTATTTTGCTGCACAGAAGCTCTTTAGTTCTACTAGATGCCAGTTGTCAATTTTTGCTTTTGTTACAATTGCTTTTGGGATTTTCATTATTAAATTTTTGCCCATGCCTATATCCTAAATGGTATTACCTAGCTTGTCTTCCAGGGTTTATATATATATATAGTTTATATGTATTTTTATATATAGTTTATATAGTTTATTTATATATAGTTTTATAGTAAAAAATGGTTTTACATTTAAGTCTTTAATACATTATGAATTAATTTTTGCATATGGTGTGAGGAAGGGGTCTAGGTTCAGTCTTCTGCATATGTTTACCAGTTATCACAGCACCCTTTATTGAATAAGGAATCCTCTCCCCATTGCTTGTTTTTGTTGATTTTGTTAGAGATCAGATAGTTTTAGCTGTGCAGTCTTATTCCTGGAATCTATTCTGTTCCATTGGTTCATGTGTCTGTTCTTGTACCAACACCATGCTGTTTTGGTTATTGCAGCCTTGTAGTATAGTTTGAAGTTGGGTAACATGATACCACCAGCTTTGTTTGGGGGTTTTGGGGTTTTTGTTTTTGTCATTGTTGTTATTGTTGTTTGTTTGTTTTTTGCATAGAATTTCCTTGGCTATTCAGGCATTTCTGTGATTTTGTATGAATTTTAAAATATATTTTTCCAGTTCTGTGAAGAATATCAGTGGTAGTTTAATGAGAATAACGTTGAATCTAAAAATTGCTCTGGGCAGTATGGCCATTTTAACAATATTAATTCTTCCTATCCATGAGCATGGAATATTTTTCCATTTGTTTGTTTAATCTCTGATTTATTTGAACAGTGTTTTTTAGTTCTCCTTGTAGACATCTTTCACCTCCCTAGTTAGATGTGTTCCTAGGTATTTTATTCTTTTTTGTGGCAACTGTGAATGGGTATTCATTCGTGATTTGGCTCTTGGCTTGACTGTTGTGAGTGGTATAGGAATACTGGCTACTTTTGCACATTGATTTTTGTACCCTGAAACTTTGATGAAGTTGTTTATCAGTTTAAGAAGTTTCTGGGCTGAGACAATGGGGTTTTCTGGATATAGGATCATGTCATCTGCAAAGAGAGACAGTTGGACTTCCTTTCTTCCTATTTAGATGTCCTTTATTTCTCTCTCTTGACTGATTGCCCTGGCCAGAACTTTCAATACTATGTTGAATAAAAGTAATGAGAGAGGGCATCCTTCTTTTGTGCCAGTTTTCAGGGAGAATGCTTCCAGCTTTTGCCCATTCAGTATAATGTTGGCTGTGGGTTTGTTATATATGGCTCTTATTATTTTGAAGTATGTTTCTTCAATGCCTCATTTATTGAGAGTTTTTAACATGAAGGATTGTTGAATTTTATCAAAATACTTTTCTGCATTTATTGAAATAATCATAGTTTTTGTCTTTAGATCTGTTTATGTGATTAATCACGTATATTGATTTGCATATCTTGAATGAAATGTGCATTTCAGGGATGAGTCCTACTGGATCATGATGAATAAGTTTTTTGATGTGCTTCAGGATTCAGTTTGCCAGTATTTTTTTGAGGATCTTTGCATTGATATTCATCAAGGATATTGGCCGGAAGTTTTCTTTTTTGTTGTATCTCTGCCAGGTTTTGGTATCAGAATGATGCTGGCCTCATAGAATGAGTTAGGGAGGAGTCCCTCATTTACAGTATTTTGGAATAGTTTCAGTAATAATGGTACCAGCTCTTTGTACATCTGGTAGAATTCACTGTGAATCTGTCTGGTCCTGTGCTTTTTTTGGTTGGTAGGCTATTTATTACTTCCTCAATTTCAGAACTCATTATTTGTATGTTCAGGGATTCAATTTCTTTTTGCTTCAGTCTTGGGAGGGTGTATGTGTCCAGGAATTTATCTATTTCTTCTAGATTTTCTACTTTATGTGCATAGAGGTGTTCATAATATTTTCTGATGGTTATTTGTATTTTGGGGGGATTCAGTGGTAATATTCCCCTTATCATTTCTGATTGTGTTTATTTGAATCTTCTCTATTTTATTCCTTATTAGCCTAGCTAGCAGTCTATTTTATTAACTTTTTCAAGAAAAAAAAAACGGCTCCTGGATTGTTGATCTTTTGAATGGTTTTTCACGTCTCTATCTCCTTTCATTCAGCTCTGATTTTGGTTATTTCTTGTCTTCTGCTAGCACTGGGATTTCTTTGCTCTTGGTTCACTAGTTCTTTCAGTTGTGATGTTAGGTTGTTAAATAGACATTTTTATAATTTTGTAATGTGGGCATTTAGTTCTTTAAATTTCCCTGTTAACACTGCCTGAGCTGTGTCCCAGGGATTCTGGTACATTTTATCTTTGTTCACATTCATTTCAAAGAACTTCTTGATTTCTGGCTTAAATTCATTATTTACCCTAAAGTAATTCAGGAGCAAGTTATTCAATTTTCATGTAGGTGTGTGGTTTTCAGTGAATGTCTTAGTCTTGAGTTCCAATTTGATTGTGCTGTGGTCTGAAAGACTGTTTGTTATGATTTCAGTTCTTTTGCATTTGCTGAAGAGTGTTTTATTTCTGATTACTTGATCAATTTTACAGTAAATATCTTGTGGTAATAAGAAGAATGTGCATGCTATTGTTTTTGGGTGGAGAGATCTGTACATATCTATCAGGTCCATTTGATCTAGGGCTAAGTTCAGGTCCTAAATATCTTTGTTAATTTTTCTGTCTTAATGATCGAATATTGTCAGCGGGGTGTTAAAATCTCCCATTTTGTTTTTTGTTTTGTTTTTTTGTTTTTTTTTTTTTTTTAGATGGAGTTTCACTCTTGTTGCCCAAGCTGGAGTGCAATGGCGTAATCTCAGCTCACCACAACCTCCGCCTCCCAAGTTCAAGTGATTCTCCTGCCTCAGCCTCCCAAGTAGCTGGGATTACAGGCATGCACCACCACGCCCAGCTAATTTTGAATTTTTAGTAGAGATGGGGTTTCTCCATGTTGGTCAGGCTGGTCTCGAACTCCTGACCTCAGGTGATCCACCCACCTCAGCCTCCCAAAGTGCTGGAATTACAGGCATGAGCCACCACACCCAGCCCCTCCCACTGTTATTGTGTTGGAGTCTAAGTCTCTGAAAGTCTCTAAGAACTTGCTCTATAAATGTGGGGTGCCCCTGTATTGGGTGCATATATATTTAGGATAGTTAGCTCTTCTTGTTGAATTGAACCCTTTACAATTATGTAATTCCCGTCTCTGTCTTTTTTGAACTTTGTTAATTTAAAGTCTGTTTTGTCAGAAACTAGGATTGCAACTGCTGCTTTTTTATGTTTTCCATTTGCTTGGTAGATTTTCCTCCATCTCTTTGAGCCTATGGGTGTCATTGCATGTGAGATGGGTCTCTTGAAGACAGCATACAAATGGCTCTTGATTGTTTATCCAGCTTCTTCATCTGTTTTATTTTTAATTTGTCTCTTTTAATTGGAGCATTTAGCCCATTTACATTTAAGGTTAGTATTGTTATGCATGGATTTGATCACGTCATCATGATATTAGCTAGTTATTTTGCAGACTTGTTTATGTTGTTGCTTTATAGTGTTACTGGTCTATGTACTTCAGTGTGTTTTTGTAGTGGCTGATAAAAGTCTCCCTTCCATATTTAGTGCTTCCTTCAGAAACTATTGTAAGGTAAGGTGGTAATGAATTCCCTCAGCATTTGCTTGTCTGAAAAGGATCTTATTTCTCCTTCACTTATAAAGCTTAGTTTCTCAGCATTTGCTTGTCTGAAAAGGATCTTATTTCTCCTTCACTTATAAAGCTTAGTTTGACCAGATATGAAATTTTGGGTTGAAATATCTTTTAAGAATGTTGAATATTGGCCCCCAATCTCTTCTAGCTTGTAGAGTATCAGCTGAGTGGTCTGCTGTTAGTCTGATGGGCTTCCCTTTGTAGATGACCTGGTCTTTCTCTCTAGCTGCCCTTAACATTTTTTCTTTCATTCCAACTTCAAAGAATCGGATGATTATGTGTCTTGGGATGATCTTCTCATAGAGCATCTTACTGGGGTTCTCTGCATTTCCTGAATTCGTATGTTTGCCTGTCTTGTTAGGTTGGGGAAGTTCTCCTGGATGATATCCTGAAGTATGTTTTCCAACATGGTTCCATTATCCTCATCTCTTTCAGGTACCTTAATCAGTTACAGGTTTGGTCTTTTTACATAATCCCACAGTTCTTGGAGGTTTTGTTTATTCCTTTTCATTCTTTTTTCTGTGTTTTTTTTCGGCCTCTTATTTCAAAAAGACAGTCTTCAAGCTCTGAACACTATTCTGCTATTAGTACTTGTGATTGTGTCATGAAATTCTGTATTAAAATTATGAAAAGTTTGTATTGCATTTTTCAGCTCTATCAGTTCAGTTACATTCTTTTCTATACTTGTTATTTTGTCTTTCAGCTCCTGCAATGTTTTATCATAATTTTTAGCTTCCTTGCATTGGGCTACAATGGGCTCCTTTAGCTAATTGAAGTTCATTTTTATTTACCTTCTGAATTCTACTTCTGTCATTTCAACCATCTCTGCCTCAGCCCACTTCTGAACCCTTGCTGAAGAGGTAATCCAGTTATTTGGAGGAGAGAGGGCACTCTGGCAATTTGAGTTTTTGGCATTCTTGCACTGATTCTTTCTCATCTTTGTAGACTTATATACCTTCAATTGTTTATGTTTCTGACCTTTTTATTTTATTTTTCTTTTAACAGTCTGGCCACTTTTCAGTAGGGCTGTGGCAATTTGCTGGCTGTCCACTCCAGTCTCTAGTCACCTTGGATTTTCCAGTACCTGGAGGTATCACTAGTGAAGGCTGCAGAACAGCAAAGATGTCAGCTTGCCCCCCTTCCTCCTGGAGCCCTGTCCCAGGGAGGTACACACCTGTGGCTGGTCTGAATATACCTGAAGAAGGTGGCTGGCAACTCCTTTTAGTAGGTCTCACCCAGTCGGGAGGAACAGCATTGAGGACCTGCTTAAAGAAGAAGTCTGGCCATGCTTTTGTAGAGCAGCCATGCTGTGCTGGGGTACCACTTTCACCCTGATTGGCTTGGGCTCTCCAAAGCCTGGCAGCTAGAACAATTAAGTCACCCAAATAGCAAAGGTGGTAGCCCACCACTCCCTCTGGGAACTCTGTCCTGGGAAGTTTTCAAATCTCTGTCAGCCAGAGAACATCAGTGGGAGTTGCTGGAGGCCCCTGTTTTGATGTCCCACCCAGTGAGAAGGAATGGATTGATGTGATAATTGAGCATCAATTTGATTGGATCAAAGGATGCAAAGTATTGTTTCTATGTGTATCTGTGAGAATGTTGCTAAAGAAGGTTAACATTTGAGTCAGTGTACTCAGAAAGACAGTCCTACTCTCAATCTGAGTGGGCACGATCTAATCAGCTGCCTCCATAGCCAGAATTATAAAGCAGGAAGAAGAACGTGGAAAGACTAGACTGGCTGAGTCTTCTGGCCTCCATTTTTCTTCCATGCTGAATACCTTTTGCCCTCGAATATTGGACTCCAAGTTCTTCAGATTTGGGACTCTTGGACCTTTGACCACAGACTGAAGGCTGCACTGTCACATTCCCTACTTTTGAGATTTTAGGCCTCAGACTGGCTTCTTTGTTCCTCAGCCTGCAGATGGCTTATTGTGAGACTTCACCTTGTGATTGTGTGACTCAATAATTCTTAGTAAACTCTCCTTTATATATACACATCTATCCTATTCATTCAGTCCCTTTAGATTACCTTGATTAATACAATCAGGGACCCACTTAAAGAAGCAGTCTGGCCATGATTTGATACAGAAGCTGTGCTGTGCTGGGGGATCCCTTCTGCCCTCGGTCAGTTTGGGATCTCCTAAGTCCACAGTCTGGAATGGCTGTGTTATCCAAACAACAAAGATGGTAGCCCACCCCTGCCCCTGGAAACCCTGTTCTGGGTAAAGGTGACACTGTTGCCAGTGGTTGGCTGGAATTCCAAGCCAATGGGTCTTATCCTGTCAGAAGCCATGGAAATGGGACCTACATACCATCACTGTTCTGCCCCTTGGATTCAGCCCCTTCCCAGGGGAGGTCCAACCTCCCACCTTGCCAGAGTTGCAGTCACTTTTGCCAGGAAGCCTGGAACCAGAATATGTAAAGCTCCTGGGCCTCTGTGTGTGCCTGAGCAGCTGCTCCCCCAAGACTCCACACAGTTCTGTGTATCAGACTGAAGGACCTGGTAGAGTGGATTCATGAGGGATCTCCTGACCCAAGAGTGATCTTTTGGGGGTTGCAAAGATCCACTGGAGAAGCATTGTTTCCCAGGGTTGCCCATTCACTAACCACTTCCCTGGATGGAGGAGGTTCCCCTGGCTCTGTGTCACTCCCGGGTGGGCTGTCATCCTGTCTTGCTTTTCTTCATTTTCTGTGGGTTGTTTCCTTGATTAGCCCCAATGTGAGTACCTAGATGTTTCAGTTGAAGGTGCTGTATTTACTTGCCCCTTTCATTCCTCTCTGTGAGAGCCACACACCATAGCTGCTTCTAATTGGCCATCTTGGCCCAAATCCCCAGCATTTTAAAGCAGATTAAGAATTGTCAAATTCTTCCTTAGGGTAGGAAGGACTCAGAACTACAATGCTTTGAGTCAAGACTTCTTCCTCCTCCTGATTCTTTCTTTATTGAAAAAAAGATCAACAGGAAAGACATTAGGTCCTGTCACTTGAAACTTAGCATTTATTATTCCCTAATTTTGCACTCCACCTCTCCTGTCTTGACTACTTCTGTAACTGACTTGACTGATGACCAGAAATGAAGTGTAAGCAAATTCTACTGGAAGAATAATATAGCCAAGGTTCAGAGAGAGAGCAGAGTGTTATTTGGAAACCACTCTGTTCCATTCATGACAGCATGAAAATTAATCATTAATGAGCTATTCTTTTATTTGCAAAGATGATGCCACTGATTCAAGACCAGGCATTACCTCTGAATTAGTTTTTTGTAAGTAGGGAATGACTGTACAGAATCTTTCACAATATTGCTCATTCCTTTATTATCAGCAAGTTACTATCAGCAAGTTGCAGTTTGGCTGCCTAGGATAAGTGAAGTCTGTAACTATATACCAGTACATTAAGAATCTTTATTTTTAATGTAAAGATGGCTTTAATAAAGTACTTGAAGGAAGCAGTTAAGATTAAGGTAGATTCACTGCCAGGAGGAAGCAAGTAGGAGACCATTGGAAGGAATATTAACAATTATTAAGGCAGAACAATCATATGTAGGACTTGAAAATAAATGGCCACAACCCAGACACTACAATTACATTGTTCTGATGGGTGCCAAGACTCTAAATTTTAACAATTCAAATGAAGGTGGGTTCTGAGATAACATTCTAAGAAACAGTGGTTAAAGGATGAGTAAAGAAAAAAGGAAGACACTGATGTTCACATTTTTGTTTTTATTTTGTCTGCATGCAATTCTTGACCACTGATAGTCTCTATTGATTGCCAAGCACTAAAGATAGTAAATAAATAAACTTGGAATATATGCATAAACATCAACTGACTTTGATTTGTAAATTTAAGCAAAAAAACTATAATTATTTAATTTCTTTGTCTTTTCTTTGAAATACCAGTTTTGCATTACAATTATGTTCTCAAAATATGGTATATTAAAGCATATTGACATTTAAGGGACTTAAATTGTTTAATAACATGATCATTTCCAAATACCATCTCTTACCTGTACTACCTTTGATTTATAATCACCACAGAGCAGCCAAAGTGACTGTAGCAAGCTTTCATTAGGGTGCCACCAAAATATCTTGTTCTTTGGATGAGAATAAATTATAAGCTTTGCCAATATTGTGTTGTACATGGAGAAGTGGATTTCATAGGCTAAGCAATGAGACTGTCATGTTTTCTCAAAAATTGGGAGACTGTATACACATGAGACAGCGAAAGGGATAACTATATGGGCAAAAGTTTATTGCATAGAAGATATCTAAGGTTCTCTCTCCTCCAAAATCCTTTGATCGTAAACCTCCATGAATGGAAGATATAACCAAAGAAACTCTAACTCTTTCAGTACAACATCTGAGAGTAATTCACCCTTAGAATTCTAATTCAGAAAACATAGTGGCATAATATATTAAAGTGAGGGTATTTCAAGATCTTAATCATGGTTTGCCAAAACATAAATGAGTATACATATCAAAAGTTATTTTCAGCAGTTAGCAAAAAGACATTATTTGGCCAGTGAAATGAAATCAAGACACTCAAGCCAACCATTTTGTTTCTCCCCAAAATTCCAACTTGCCCAATGCCTGAAGACAAGCTGACAAACCTCAATTTGTAGAAAAAGATTGATCAGGAAGGTCCCTGTCCCTGTAGGTGAGATATATAGAAAGAGATATCTCCTAAGCAACCCTAGGTAATAATGTCTGCTTTTCCATATCTCAAAGGATTGATCAAAATGAATGAAGTATTAGCACTGTTTTTTTTTTTTTTTTTTTGAGATGTCTTGCTCAGTTTCCCAGGCTGGAGTGCAGTGGCACAATCTCGGCTCACTGCAATCTCTGCCTCCCAGGTTCAAGTGATTCTCCTGCCTCAGCCTCCCGAGTAGCTGGGACTAAAGATGTGTGCCACCATTCCCAGCTAATTTTTTTTTTTTTTGTATTTTTAGTAGAGAGGGGGTTTCACCATGTTAGATAGGATGGTCTCGATCTCCTGACCTTGTGATATGCCTGCCTCGGCCTCCCAAAGTGCTGGGATTACAGGTGTGAGCCACCATACCACCAGTATTAGCACTTTAAACACTTGTGTTATTGTTACATGGCCTTTATTTAAATGTGTAAAATGCCTAAAGCCTTTTTCTAAAACTAACTCCCAAAAAGTACATTCTTCGTAAGCAATAAAATGCAGATTGTTGTTGTTGTTTGGTTTTGAAGGGGAAAATGGTGAATAGGAGGCAGGACTAACTTGCAGCTCCCACTCTGACAGACACAGCAGCATGTGGAGACCACATCATGAACTTTTGCTCCAAGAACTACTGCAGAAACATACCAGGAAAGCCAAGAGAATCCACAGACCCTTTGAAGGAGGCAGATTGCTTCTTCAGGCCTATGGGACAACCAAAGAATTGCAAGCCTGCTTGCTTTCCCAGCTGGGAAGCTTGCAGCCTGGGGAAAGTTCTCAGCCATGCTCACTGGCTTCCTGGAAATAAACTTGGTGCTGCTGGTGGTGTGTGGTGGGAGTGAGACCAACATGTCAGGCTGTGGGCTGTATGGGGGCTGGGTGAGGCCTGTGGCTGCCAACTTTCCCCCACTTCCTTGGAAACCCGTGTGACACAACAGAGGCAGCCATGATCCCCCTGAGAACATGACTCAGTTAGCCTGGTAACCACACCTCCATTCCCCACAGCAGCTGCAGGAGAGCCTATACCCAAGGCGAGTCTGAGCTCACCTAACCCTGCTCACACCTCATGGTCTTTCTCTACCTGCCCTGGTAGCTGAAGACAAGGGACATAATCTCTTGGGGGCTCTATGGCCCCACCCACCACCTGATTCTCCCTATACTACCACAGCTGATGTACTCTTGAAAATGCCACCTCCTAGCTGGAGGCCAACCAACACAAAATCAGCACACTTAACAAAAATGCAACCAAGGACCCTCACAGAGTCTGCTTCACTCCCCTGCTACCTTCATTGAAGCAGGGGCTGGTATCCATGACTGAGAGACCTGAAGATGAATCATATCACAGGACATCTTGCAGACACTGCCCAGTACCAGTCTGGAGCCCCATAGCTCCACTGAGTGGCCAGATCCAGAAAAGAAATAACAATCTCTGCAGTTTGGCCCTCAGGAAGCCCCATCCCTAGAGGGAATGGGAGAGCACCACATCAAAGGAACACCCATGGGACAAAAGAATCTGAACAGCAGCTTTGGAGCCCCAGATCTTCCCTCTGACAAAGTCTACCCAAATGATAAGGAACCAGAAAAACAATTCTAGTAATATGACAAATCTAGCTACTTAACTCCCCTAAAAGATCACACTAATTCACCAGCAATAGATCCAAACCAAGAAACCTCTGAATTGCCAGAAAAAGAATTCAGAAGGTCGACTATTAAGCCAATCAAGGAGGCACCAAAGAAAGGTGAAGTTCAACCTAAAGAAATTTTTAAAAAAATGATACAGGATATAAATGGAAAAATCTCCAGTGAAATAGATAGCATAAATAAAAAACAATCACAACTTTTAGAAATAAAGGACACAAAGAATTGTATTGGAAAGTGCACTGGAAAGTCTCAGCAATAGGATCAAACAAGTAGAAGAAAGGACTTCAGAGCTCAAAGACAAGACTTTAAAATTAACCCAATGCCACAAAGACAAAGAAAAAAGAATTTTAAAAAATGAACAAAGCCTCCAATGAGTTTGGGATCATGTTAAACAACCAAATCTAAGAATAATTGGTGTTCCCGAGGAAGAAGAGAAATCTAAAAGTTTGGAAAATATATTTGAGGGAATAATCGATGAAAACTTCCCTGGTCTTGCTAGAGATCTAGACCTCCAAATACAAGAAGCTCAAAGAACACCTGGGAAATTCATCACAAAAAGATCATCACCTAGGCACATAGTCATCAGGTTATCTAAAGTCAAGACAAAGGAAAGAATTTTAAGAGCTGTGAGGCAAAAGCATCAGGTAACCTATAAAGGAAAACCAATCAGATTAACAGCAGATTTCTCAGCAGAAACTCTACAAGCTAGAAGGGATTAGGGTCCTATCTTTAGCCTTCTTAAACAAAACAATTATCAGTCAAAAATTTTATATCCAGCTAAACTAAGCTTTATAAATGAAGATAAGATACAGTCTTTTTCAGACAAACAAATGCTGAGAGAGTTCACCACTACCAAGCCAGCACTACAAGAACTGCTAAAAGGAGCTCTAAATCTTGAAACAATTTCTTGAAACACGCCAAAATAGAATCTCCTTAAAACATAAATCTCCCACGACCTAAGAAAGAACACACAATGAAAGAAAATCAAGGTACTCAGGCAACAAATAGCATGATGAAGAGAATAGTACCTCACATCTCAATACTAACATTGAATATAAATGCCTAAAGGCTCCACCTAAAAGATACAGAATGGCAGAATGGGTAAGAATTCACCAACCAAGTATCTTCGGTCTTCAAAAGACTCACCTGACACATAAGAACTCACATAAACTTAACGTAGAGGTGTGGAAAAAGATATTCCATGCAAATGAACACCAAAATTGAGCAGGAGAAGCTACTTTTATATCAGACAAAACAACCTTTAAAGCAACAGCAGTTAAAAAAGACAAAGAGGGACATCATACAGTGATAAAAGGACTAGGCCAACAAGAAATTATCGTGATCTGAAATATGTATGCACCTAAAACTGGAGCATCCACATTTATAAAACAATTACTACTAGACATGAGATATGAGATAGACAGTAACATAGTAATACTGAAGGACTTCAATACTCCACTGACAGCACGAGACAGGGCATCAAGACAGAAAGTTGACAATGAAACAATGGACTTAAACTGTACCCTAGAACAAATGGACTTCGATATTTACAGAACATTCTACCCAACAACTGCAGAACACACATAATTTTTATCAGCACATGGAACATTCTCCAAGATAGAATGATAGAATGACCATATGATAGGCCACAAAATAAGTCTCAACAAATTTAAGAAAATCAAAATTATAGCAATTACTCTCAGACCACAGTAGAATAAAATTAAAAATCAACACCAAAAGGAACCCTCAAAATGATGCAAATACATGGAAACTAAATAACCCACTCCTGAATGTTTGTTAGGTCAACAATGAAATCAAGATAGATTTTTAAAAATTCTTTGAACTAAATGATAAAAGTGACAAAACCTATCAAAACCTCTGAGATACAGCAATGGCAGTGCTGAGAGGAAAGTTCATAGCATTAAATGCCTACATCAAAAAGTCTGAAAGATCACAAATAGACAATCTAAGGTCACACCTCAAGGAACTAGAAAAACAAGAACAAACCAAGCCCAAACTTAGCAGAAAAAAGAAATAACCAAGGTCAGAGCAGAACTAAATGAAACTGAAAAAAAAGCTGTTTTTTTAATAGAAAAATAAAATTGATAGACCATTAGTGAGACTAACCAAGAAAAAAAGAGAGACTATCCAAATAAGTTTAATTAGAAAGGAAACAAGAGATATTACAGCCGATACCACAGAAATACAAAAAAATCATCCAAGGCTACTATGAACACCTTTACCTGCATAAACTAGAAAACCTAGAGGAGATGGATAAATCCTGGAAATATACAACACTCCTAGAATAAACCAGGAAAAAAAATAGAAATTCTAAATAGATCAATTACAAGCAGTGAGATTGAAATAGTAACTTAAAAGTTACCAAAAAATAAAAGTCCAGGACTGGTATCAGTTGTAATATCTTTAGCAGACATTCAAAGAATTAGTAAATTCTATCAGACATTCAAAGAAGAATTAGTACTGATCCTATTGACACTATTCCACAGAATACAGAAAAAATGGAATCCTCCCTAAATCATTCTATGAAGCCAGTATCACCTTAATACCCAAACCAGGAAAAGACATAACAAAAAAAGAAAACTACAGACCAATATCTCTTATGAACATAAATGCAAAAATCCTCAACAAAATCCTAGCTAACTAAATCGAACAGCATATCAAAAAGATAATACACCATGATCAAGTGGATTTCATACTAGGGATGTGAAATCGTTTATCATCTACAAGTCAATAAATGTGATACACCACATAAACAGAATTAAAAACAAATATCACATGATCATCTCAATACATGCAGAAAAAGTATTTGACAAAATCCAGCAATCCTTTATGATTAAAGCCCTCAGAAAAATCATACCTTCAACCTACTCATCTGACAAAGGGCTAATATCCAGAATCTACAATGAACTCAAACAAATTTACAAGGAAAAAACAAACAACCCCATCAAAAAGTGGGCAAAGGACATGAACAGACACTTCTCAAAAGAAGACATTTATGCAGCCAAAAAACATGAAAAAATGCTCACCATCACTAGCCATCAGAGAAATGCAAATCAAAACCACAATGAGATATCATCTCACACCAGTTAGAATGGCAATCATTCAAAAGTCAGGAAACAACAGGTGCTGGAGAGGATGTGGAGAAATAGGAACACTTTTACACTGTTGGTGGGACTGTAAACTAGTTCAACCATTGTGGAAGTCAGTGTGGCGATTCCTCAGGGATCTAGAACTACAAATACCATTTGACCCAGCCATCCCATTACTGGGTATATACCCAAAGGACTATAAATCATGCTGCTATAAAGACACATGCACACGTATGTTTATTGCAGCACTATTCACAATAGCAAAGACTTGGAACCAACCCAAATGTCCAACAACGATAGACTGGATTAAGAAAATGTGGCACATATACACCATGGAATACTATGCAGCCATAAAAAATGATGAGTTCATGTCCTTTATAGGGACATGGATGAAGTTGGAAATCATCATTCTCAGTAAACTATCGCAAGAACAAAAAACCAAACACTGCATATTCTCACTCATAGGTGGGAATTGAACAATGAGAACACATGGACACAGGAAGGGGAACATCACACTCTGGGGACTGTTGTGGGGTCGGGGGAGGGGGGAGGGATAGCATTGGGAGATATACCTAATGCTAGACGACGAGTTAATGGGTGCAGCGCACCAGCATGTCACATGTATACATATGTAACTAACCTGCACATTGTGCACATGTACCCTAAAACTTAAAGTATGATAAGAATAATAAAAAAAAAAGAAAAATCATACCTTAAGGTAATAAAAGCCAACTATGACAAACCCACAGCCAACATTATACTGAATGGGGAAATGTTGAAAGCATTCCCCCTGAGAACTGGAACAAGACAAGGATGCTTACTTTCACCACTTCTATTCAACATAGTACTGGAAGTTCTAGCCAAAGCAATCAGACAAGAGAAAGAAGTAAAGGGCATCCAAATGGGTAAAGAAAATTCAAACTGTCACTGTTTGCCAATGACATGATTATATACCTAGAAAACCCTGAAGACTCATCCTAAAAAAAGCTCCTAGAACTGGTAAATGAATCCAGCAAAGTTTCAAGATACAAAATTAATGTGCACAATCAGTAGCCTTGCTATATACCAACAGCAACCAAGCTGAGAATCAAATCAAGAACTGAACCATTTTTAAAACAGCTGTAAAAAATAAAATAAAATAAGGTTTGTAGCAATGTTCTTAACCAATGAAGTGAACGGTCTCTAAAAGGAAAACTGCAAAACACTGCTGAAAGAAATCATAGACAACACAAAGAAATAGAAATACATTCCATGCTCATGAATAGGTAGAATCAACATTGTGAAAATGACCATACTGCCAAAAGCAATCTACAAATTCAATGTAATTGCCATCCAAATACCATCATCATTATTCACAGAACTAGAAAAAAACAATCCTAAAATTCACGTGGAACCAAAAATGAGCCCACACAATTAAAGCAAGACTAAGCAAAACAAGCAAACCTGGAGGTATCACATTACCTGATTTAAAACTATACTATAAGGCCATAGTCACCAAAACAACATGGTACTGGTATAAAAACAGGCATATAGACCAATGGAACAGAATAGATAACACAGAAATAAAGCCAAATTATTTACAGTCAACTGATCTTTGACAAAGCAAACAAAAACACAAAGTGGGGAAAGGATACCCTATTCCACAAATGGTACTGGGATAATTGGCAAGCCAAATGCAGAAGAATAAAATGATCCTCATCTCTCACCTTATGCAAAAATCAACTCAAGGTGGATCAAAGACTTAAATCCAAGACCAGAAACCATAAACATTCTAGAAGATAATGTCGGAAAAACCCTCTAGACATTGGCTTAGGCAAAGAGCTCACGACCCAGGAACTTAAAAGCAAATGCAACAAAAACAAAGATAAATAGATGGTACCTAATTAAACTAAAAAGCTTCTGCACAGCAAATAAAATAATCAGCAGAGTAAACAGAGAACCCACAGAATGGGAGAAAATATTTGCAATCTGTATATCTGAAAAAGGACTAATATTCAGAATCTACAATGAACTCAAACAAATCAGCAAGAAGGAAAACAAAAAATCCCATCAAAACGTGGGCTAAGGACATAGACAATTCTCAAAAGAAGATATACAAGTGCCCAACATATGAAAAAATGCCCATCGCTAATTATCAGGGAAATGCAAATCAAAACCACAATGCAATACCACCTTACTCCTGCAAGAATGGCCATAATCAAAAAATCAGAAAATAATAGATGTTGGCATGGATGTGATGAAAATGGAACACTTTTACACTATTGATGGGAATGTAAACTAGTACAACCACTATGGAAAACAGTGTGGAGATTTCTTAAAGAACTAAAAGTAGATCTAACAAAAAAACTAAAAGTAGACCATTTGATCCAGTACTCCCATTCCTGGGTATCTACCCAGAGGAAAAGAAGTCATTATATGAAAAAGATACTTGCACATGCATATTTATAGCAGCACAATTTGCAAATTGAAAAATATAAACCAGCTTAAATGCCCATCTATGATGAGTAGATAAAGGAAATGTGGTATGTACATAATGAAATACTACTTAGCCATAAAAAGGAACAAAATAATGGCATTTGCAGCGACCTGGATGAATTGCAGACCATTATTCTAAGAGAAGTAACTCAGGAATGGAAAACCAAACATCATATGGTCTCACTCATAAATGGGAATTAAGCTATGAAGATGCAAAGGCATAAGAATGACACAATGGACTGGGAACTCAAGGAAAAGGTGGGAAGGGGGTGAGCGATAAAAGACTACCCACTAGGTACAGTGTATACGGCCTGGGTGATGGTGCACCAAAATCTCAGAAATCACCACTAAAGAACTTATTCATGTAACCAAACACCACCTGTTCTCCAAAAACCTATTTAAATAAAATAATAATAATAAGAGAAAATGCAGATTGTTATAATACCACCTTATTGAAGCAGTGGTCTTCAGATTTCTTACTGCTGGTTTTCTTCTCCTTCTACTTCTCCTTCTCCTCCTTTTCCTTCTCCTTTTTTTTTTTGTTTGTTTGTTTGTTTGTTTGAACAGCGTCTCACTCTTCAACCCAGGCTGGAGTGCAGTGGCATAATCATAGCTCACTGCAACCTGAAATTCCTGGCCTCAAGTGATTCTTCCACCTCATCCTCCCAAAGTGCTGGGATTATAGACATGAGCCACCATGCTCTGCCTGGTGCCTTCTTTCTGATCTTACCACTGGAGACTCTCATCCCCTGTAATTTCTGTCTTCCTTGCTTTATTTTTTCTGCTCTTTTGAACTCACTTTTTCATTCTCCATATCTTGCCACCATCTCATCAAATAGTTTTTCTCCCTTCATCTAAGATGGATTAAAGATTTAGAAGTATCTTTATGATAAAGTGTTGTTACATTAAATATTCCTTATTTGTATACATAGAATTTTCTCTCAATAGATTTGATCAAAAAAGGTGGTCTTTAAAACTTTATGTTAAATTTCACAGTCAAGTCTTGAATTTTTCAGTTAATCTTGACAGACAAAAATCCCATTTCTATCTTAATACTCAATGTTAAAGTATTACATTACTAATAATTTTGCACCTGCACACTGTATTAGTATTGAGTCGCACAACCAAAGTATGAAATCCTATTAAATCTTGTTTTCCTTTCATTACGCAAAAGGCAGCATTGACAGCATATTTTGTCAACATTGAATACTGTGGACAAAGAGTACTAAATTACATTTCTTAATCCATGACACCACCTTGAATAACATAGTGTTGAGAAGTTTTGTAAATTTTATAGGGAAATAGTAGAATGCTATGAACAGAGTATGTTGGTAACTAACTAGTGGCTTAAGTTTTAGGCAACAACTGTAGCTAGAAAAGCTTTTCATCTGCTGTCTATAATATAGTGATTGAACACCTCTCAACTTCAGACCTCCCACCATCATTTTGGCAGTCTGCAAAATTTCCCTTGCATCATCAAAATGTACTCTAAGTGGGGTTCTCTTTAAAGACCACCCATGAGTTACAGCTGGTATAAAATGCAGCTGATTGGTGCAATTTACATTCATATGTAGTGCAAGGTGGGACTAGACCTATGTGCCTTTGGATGGCTTGCTTAAAATTGCCTTATTCTTTGTAGGTCAAAGTGACAAATAAGAAGAGCTGAGATCCCTCAGCTTTCTCTCTCCAAAATCTATCTAAAGACTGTATATAGTTTCTAATCCAAGCTGGAACATTTTTCAGCATTAAAGAGGGTGCTACTAATAATTTCACTCAAAATAAACTGAGTCTGTTTGGGGCAAGGAACAAACAAGGCAAAAAGGGGAATAAGAAAGAAAGACCTACAATTCTAGACTCCTGTGCCCACAATGATTTGGCATGAATCTACTATCACCATGTCATTGATATTCCATTAATAACCCACTGATTGATGTTGCTTTGGTTTACAGATGCTAATTAATTGTTATTGGTTATGTGATTGCAACCTATACTAGGCCTTATCTCCCAAGTCATAATTTAGTTAAATAATATTGTAAGTTTGTGTCTGAGGCACCTATAACAAAACACAAATTAACAAGAAAAAAGCATACAAATGTTTTTAATGTAAGTTTTACATGACATAGGAATCATTAGAAATTAAGACTCAGGCCAGGCACAGTGGCTTACGTCTGTAATCACAGCACTTTGGGAGGCCAAGGTGGGCGGATCACCTGAGGTCAGGAGTTCAAGACCAGCCTGGCCAACATGGTGAAACCCCATCTCCACTAAAAATAAAAAATTAGCCAGGTGTGGTGGCACGCACCTGTAGTCCCAGCTACTCAGGAGGCTGAGGCAGGAGAATCACTTGAACCTGGGAGGCAGATGTTGCAATGAGCTGAGATCATGCCACTGCACTCCAGCCTGGGCAACAGAGTGAGACTCCATCTTGGAGGGAAAAAAAAAAAAAGAAATTAAGACAATGAAATAGGAAAATCTATATTTTTATGCTTAGGTTTAATGAAATGTGGACAGTTGTGTGGACAGATAATTGGACAAATGGGGTCTGATCTAACAATAATAAACTAGGGTGATCTTAACAAGGTCTGTTTGTTCAGATTCTTCTCTGTGTCCTACGTCTTCAGAGATAAGGACATCCCTTTCTTCTAGATTGGGCAACTCTCACATGATGATCTTATGATCTGCTTTAGAGAAGGTCAGAGAATTTTTGTGGCCTGCTTCAGCAGAGAAGGGTCAGTTAAAAGTCAGAGTGGGCTTCCTGCTTTTACTCAAATGCCAAGGTGCTATATTTTGGGGTAGCATGTCTTGAAACCCATTAATATGTAGCATAAAGCTTTTTTATGCATCTTAATTTCCTATTATATTTTTCTGTGGCGTAGAGATTTTGCCTATATTTAAACCCTACAAGATTAAGTGCAAACTGTCTCTTTTTTCTACTTATATGTAAGTAGAAATATCGCAAATAAGCCAAATGTTTTTATTTATTTATTTATTTATTTAGCTTTCTCAGTGCCCTTTGCTTTCTTTCATATTCTATCTTCAAACACCTCATTTGTCTTCCTTTCACAAGCTCAGGGAGAATTAAATTAAATGAGTCAGTTTAAAATGTCAACAGAAAATCCTTTCCTTTCTCTTCATTGATTCTGGGCCTTTTCAAACCTCATCCAAAATATATTTGCATACTTCATTTCTATTGGCTCAGTGAAACAACTGGACTTGGGTTTGACACTAACAATGTAATTTTAACCCAGAAATAAAGCTTAAAATTGTTGGCATTACAGAAGACTAGTATTCTTTTGAAAATACACTGCTCTGTGAGAATCTTGTATTGTATAATTGAGATACATTAATCAATCAAATATTAATTGAGCAACCAACATGGCAGAAGACCAGGATGAGAACAGCATCACATGGTAGGATGGCTGGACACAAGGTGTCAGAACATGAGTGGGAGGCACCAGGAGCTACAATGGGAGATTGGTTATATATGGGGGTACTGATCTAATAACATTAATGATCATGAGAGCCAGGCTTCTCAGTGTTAGGGAAAGAAGTTACAATATGAAAAGTGGGAAATCTAGAATGAACTGTATGTTTGAATTGGAACTGGAGGTATAGTATCGATTCCTGATTTTTAAAATATCTAAATAGATTTCAAAATAGACATGAAAATGTGCTTATGTGCATATTTACATATGCATATTTAATGAAAATATATTAAAATATATTAAATAGCATGTATTATTGTATATGAACATATATATATTTTATAAACATACATAGATACGTTTATCAAAAGAATGAGGGCATTAGAGAGATAACTGATTCCTGATCACCACAGCTGGTAAAGATCCCTCTAAACCCTGAATCCTCTGGGTGATTTATCCTAATTTAATAGAAATAATGATGGCCTGCTTTGTGCCATACATATTTGCATGCCCATTTCCCCCTCAACACATGGACCACGTCTTTTAGATTTTTTAGGTCTTTCTGAATGATTTAGAACTCAATGGTTCTTGGACATAATAGATTCCCAGTAAATGATACAGGAAATAAGAAAAGAAAGGAAAGAGAAAGTGAGCCCTCCAGATTCATGTCTTTTAAAATATGTATTTAATAAGATGTGCTTAACTAAGTTCTCATACATAGGAAATCATATCAGAAATCATGTGTTATTGCCAAAAATATGACATAACTATATAGAAAAGGAGTTTCCAGCAGGTAAATCAGGCTCGGCCAGTAGACCTTGACTTATCTGGTTCACCAGCAGCCAGCTACCATTTTAGCATTCACCCTGGTGTCACTTACCAGTAGATACAGAGAGAGCCTACACTGAAACCTTCTACACTATTCTACCCAAGAATTTCATTACCTGCTTTCCCACTCACCTAACTATCTAACATCTCCCTTCTTATTCCCCTGAAAATAAATTTTAAGTCTTCATGGAATTAAAAATTAGTATGTCTCAAAATCTTTGAGAACTCTTGACATAGATTAGGTCTTGGAAACACCCATCCCATCAATGACTCTCTGATGAAAAAACAATTAAGATGAAAAGCACAAGGGCTAATCATAAATGACACAATTCTCCCTTCTACTTGATACTTTAATATTGTTACTGACTGATCATGATTTTATTCAGTGCAATGTCCCCCAAACATTCAAACAAAATTATGGAATGTCAGGCATAATTTTTATTTACTGAATACCAAGATTCAGTATAAATGCTATATGCACATCCAGTCACTTTTAAGAAATGTTTGTGTCTCCTAGTGAAGTTGAATAAGAAAATCTGTGTTGCCAAATTGCTATAAAAGTATATGTAGAAAATATTGGACAAGAAGTTTAATATCCACCAGTTTGTGGATTTATGGGTTAAGATCACATAAAGGAAAATTTGGTACACCCAATGCTATTACAATTATAATTCTGGCTTTATATCATATTTATGAAAGCATATTTATCAAAGGTCTTTGAATGTTATAAACTTATTTTGCAGGTGGCAAAACTAAGACAAAGTTTTATTATTGCACAAATTATTTAGTACAAAGTTTAAATGAGTCCATTGTTCTTTTCACTACATTATATATTTAGTTTCATATTGGCTTTGGGTGTGCTTTTATTATAGTCAGCACATGTGAAATCTTTTTTTGCTTTGATGATAACTACACTTCATAAAAAATAGCAAAGTGATAAGCATCTCAACACAGCAACAATTTATTTAGGTATTGATCTTAGATCCATGGTCACTTGAAAATCCTTTGTCAACATGAAAAACTAAGATTGACTTGTGCCCGAAGAATATGTATTCTTTTTTATGTAGAAGATAAATATGTATCATAAATATGTATCAGTTTGTCTGTTTAATTTGAAGCTATTATTAAATTTTCTTTGTTGTTACCATTTTTGTTCATGTCAGCGAAATGAACATTATTCAAAGCTTTCAACTTTTAAAAATTTTATGAAATGATCAATGCACTTTTTGTGGTGAAATATAAAAGGCAATGATAACTTGACCTACCAGTAAACAATTCTATATCTTATTTCAATCATGACTCACAAATCTTCAATTATGAGTATAAAGAAGACCTACAAAAATAATTGCTAGCATTTTCCTTTTGATATTAATGCATCCTACATTGAGTATTGTCTTGCATAAATTAAAATCAATGTTAATAATAAAGTTAAATTTGAGCAATGTAAGACAGCTGGGAAAAGACAGTCATCAATTATTATCTCGCAAAAATACTGTCTTATTAGTCATTTTGGTATGTAATTGATACTATCCTCTCTGCTTATAGCACCCTCAGCTCTGTTTCCTCATGGAGTGTTTAATAAAATTATGAAGGCAGCCAATTTATGCAGAAGTTTCTACATATCTATTCAACTACCAGAATTACTTGCTTGACTGAGGTAATACCACAAACATAATACTTAAGTCATGAGGTTGTTCTGAGAGCTTCTCAATTTCCTGAGGTAGAACAACTTTTTTATCTAAGTAAAGGAAAAAATCATACAGATATTTGGATTAGTCATTTATGTCATGAACATCTGCATCTAATCTCTTGCATCAGATCCATGTTACTACATTCTCAAAAGTGAATTTGCAGTTCTTTGCCTTGTAATTTTCTGTTTTTGTGTACTTCTTCTTAATGGTAAATGGATTGGACATTATCAGTGTGGTATCCCTCATTCTAAGCCCAGTGTCTGGCACAGCATAAGTATAACTTAGAGTTTGTAGCAGAATGTTTACTGTTTACCACAGCATTCATAATACTCCTGATACTGGAATATATGTGATATGGTTTAGCTCTGTGTCCCCACTCAAATCTCACCTTGAATTGCAGTTTCCATAATCCCCACATGTTGTGGAAGGGACCTAGTGGGAGGTAATTTCATCATGTGGGCAGTTACCCTCATGCTGTTCTCGTGATAGTGAGTTCTCATGAGATCTGATGGTTTTATAAGGGGCTTTTCTCCCTTTTGCTCAGCACTTCTCCTTGCTGCTGCCATATGAAGAAGGACATGTTTGCCTCCCCATCTGCCATGATTGTAAGTTTCCTGAGGCCTCCCCAGCCCTTCAGAACTGTGAATCAATTAAGCCTCTTTCCTTTACAAATTACCCAGCCTCAGGTATGTCTTTATTAGCAGTGTGAAAATAGACTAATACAATTTGTTATCAATATTAGAATGTGTACTGGGTAAACTCTCAGTATGGGATAGATGAATGAAACAGAAATATTGATGGAGTATATGTATCATTCATCTTTGAAACTATATAAGCCATTTAACTTCTATTTGTAATTAAATGTTGTAGTTATAATGTGAGTTGAACAATAATTTTTGCAACATCAGCAAATATTTTTAAACTCTAGCCTTCTTATTTCAAGCAATAGTAATATTCTGGTATAATTTAAAATATGTATAATTTTATGATACTCATTGTGCTAGCATTTGATTTGGACTCTTAATTATACACTTGTGATTTTTTTTTAAGTTCAAGGGTACATGTGCAGGTTTGGTATATAAGTAAACTCATGCCATGAGGGTTTGTTGTACTGATTATTTTGCCACCCAGGTGTTAAGCCAAATACTCATTAGTTATGTTTCCTGATCCTCTCCTTCCTCCCACCCTCCACCCTCAGGTAGGCCTCAGTGTGTGTTGTTCCCCTCTGTGTGCCCACGCGTTCTCATCATTTAGCTCCCACTTAAAAGTAACAATGTCTGGTATTTGGTTTCCTGTTCCTGCATTAGTTTGCTAAGGATAATGGCCTCCAGCTCAACTCATGTTCCTGCAAAGGACATGATCTTTTCTTTTTTATGGTTGCATAGTATTTCATAGTGTATATGTACCACATTTTCTTTATCCAGTCTACCGTTGATGAACATTATGTTGATTCCATGTCTTTCCTATTGTGAATAGTGCTGCAATGAACATACATATGTGTCTTGATGGTAGAATGATTTATATTCCTTTGAGTATATGCCCAGCAATGAGATTGCTCAGTCAAATGGTAGTTCTGTTTTTAGTTCTTTGAGAAATCACCATACTGCTTTCCACAATGGCTGAACTAATTTACATTCCCATGAGCAGTGTATAAGTATTCTCTTTTCTCTGTAACCTCACCAGCATCTGTTATTTTTTGACGTTTTAACAACAGCCATTCTGTCTGATGTGAAATGGTATATCATCGTGGTTTGGATTTCATTTCTCTAATGATAAGTGACATTCAGCTTTTCTTCATATGTTTTTTTTTTGGCTGCATGTCTTCTTTTGAAAAGTGTTTGCTCATGTCCTTTGCCCACTTTTTAATGGGGTTGTTTATTTCTTGTCCATTTATTTAAGTTCCTTGTAGATGCTAGATACTGGACCTTTGTCAAATGCTCTCAAATGAGAGCATTCCCCTTGGCTTTTCTCCCATTCAGGAGGTTGACTGCTTACTCTGTTGAGAGTTCCTTTTGCTGTACAGAAGCTTTTTTTTTTTTCTTTGAGATGCAGTCTCGTTCTGTCACCCAGGCTGGAGTGCAGTGGGGCAATCTTGGCTCACTGAAACCTTTGCCTCCTGGGTTCAAGCAATTCTCCTGCCTCAGCCTCCCGAGTACCTAGGACTACAGGCACATGCCACCACGCCCAGCTAATTTTTATATTTTTAATAGAGACAGGGTTTCACCATGTTGGCTAGGATGGTCTCGATCTTTTGACCTCCTGATCCGCCGTCCTCAGCCTCCCAAAGTGCTGGGATAACAGTATGAGCCACCGTGCCTGGCAGAAGCTCTTCAGTTTAATTAGATCCCAATTGTCAATTTTTGCTTTTGTTGCAATTGCTTTTGGTGACTTCAATATGAAATCTTTGCCAGTTCCTATGTCCAGAATGTTATTGCTTAGGTGGTCTTCCAGGGTTTTTATAGTTTTGTCTTTAATCCATTTTGAGTTGATTTTTGGATGTGATGTAAGGAAGGGATCCAGTTTCAATCTTCTGTATATGGCTAGCCAGTTATAACAGCACCATTTATTGAATAGGTAGACCTTTCCCTATCACTTGTTTTTGTCAGCATTGTCAAAGATCAGATACTTGTAGGTGTTAAGTCCTTTTTTCTGGGCTTTCTACTATGTTTTATTGGTCTATGTGTCTGTTTTTGTGTCAGTACCATGCTGTTTGGTTACTGTAGCCCTGTAGCATAGTTTGAAGTCAGCTAGCACTATGCCTCCAACTTTTTCTTTTTGCTTAGGATTGCCTTAGCTATTGGGTCCCATTTGTGGTTCATATACATTTTTAAATAGTTTTTTCTAGTTATGTGAAGAATGTCATTGGTAATTTAATAGGCACAGCATTCAATCTATAAATTGCCCTGGGCAGTATGGCCATTTTAATGATGTTGATTCTTCCTATCCATGAGCATGGAATATTTTTCCATTTGTATGAATCATCTCTGATTTCTTCCAGCAGTGTTTTGTAGTTCTCCTTGTAGGTATCTTTCACCTCTCTGGTTAGCTGTATTCCTAGATATTTAATTCCTTTTGTAGCAATTATGAAAAAGATTGTGTTCCTGAATTGGCCCTTGGCATGACTATTGTTAGTGTATAGGAATGATGGTGATTTTTGTATGTTAATTTTGTATCCTGAGACTTTGCTGAAGTTTCTTATCAGTTTCAGGAGCTTTTGGGCCAAGACTATGGGGTTTTCCAGATATAAGAACAGGTCATCTGCAAACAGGGATCATTTGAATTCCTCTATTCCTATTTGGATGCCTTTTATTTCTTTCTCTTGCCTGATTGGTCTGGCCAGGACCTCCAATGCTACATTGAATAGGAGTGGTGAGACAGGGCATCCTTGTCTTATGAAGGTTTTCAAGGGGAATGCTGTGATATTTAACATATCTTTAGATATTGAAATGAGAGCATTCCCTTTGGCTTTCTTGGTAAATCTCTAATGAGGAAAATAGATTTTGAATGTTAATTTACATTCTATTAGTAACACACCACATGACAATTTTTTTTCTTGCTGTTAGCTAGGATCATTTTAGACCTCTTGTATGACCCTGTGAGAAACAGACAAACCTGGCCGGGTGTAGTGGCTCACGCCTATAATCCCAGCACTTGGGAGGCTGAGGCAGAAGGATCACTTGCAGTCAGGAGTTTCAGACCAGCCTGGCCAACACAGTGAAACCTCGTCTCTACTAAAAATACAAAAATTAGCCGGGCATGGTGGCAGGCACCTGTAATACCAACTACTTCGGAGGCTAAGGTAGGCGAATCACTTCAACTGAGGAGGCAGAGGTTGCAGTGAGCTGCGTCACTGCACTCCAGCCTGGGCAACAGAGTGAGACTCCATCTCAAAAAAAAGAAAAAGAAATAGACAAACCTGTTTTATTGATTGTCACAAACCACATAAGTTAGTGAGTTAAAAAAATAAAATAATTCTGGCAAACAGTGAATCCCAGTCTTTCCTACTATATAGGTCATGAAAAATTATGTCTGCTTGAATTCACCAATCATCTTAGTCTTAACATAAGCATTTTTTTCATTTCAACTATTTTTATTTACAATTTTAAAAAATATTTAATATTATATTGCAGTAGTCAAAAGAACATAAGTGAATATTATAAAATCTTTCTTTTGGTTTTGTATATTCCAGGCTATCAGGGTTATCTCTGTCAATATCAACGACTTTTAGAGAGGATTATACATATACGAGATGTGGAAGACAAGTACTGGACATGTACTGATCAAAACAAGCATTCTAAGTTGGCAAGGAGCAGTGGCTTATGTCTGAAATCTCAGTATTTTGGAAGACTGAGACAAGAAGATTGCTTAAATACAGAAGTTTGAGACCAGCCTGTGAAACACAGTGAGAACCTGTCTCTACAAAAAAAAATGAATTATTAGACAGGTGTGGTGATGTGCAGCTATAATTCCAGCTACTCGGAAGGCCGAGGTGGGAGGATCACTTCAGCCTGGGAGATCGAGGCTGCAGTGAACCATGACCACATCGCTGCACTCCGGCCTGGGAGATAGAGCAAGACCACATCTCTTTAAAACAAACTCTCAATAAACTAGGTATTGATGGAACGTATCTCAAAATAATAAGAGCTATTTATGACAAACCCACAGCCAATATCACACTGAATGGGCAAAAGTTGGAAGCATTTCCTTTGAAAACCAGCCCAAGACAAGGATGCCCTCTCTCACCACTCCTATTCAACAAAGTATTGGAAGTTCTGACCAGGGCAATCAGGCAAGAGAAAGCAATAAAGCGTATTCAAATAGGAAGAGAGGAAGTCAAATTGTCTCTGTTTGCAGATTACATGATTGTATATTTAGAAAACCCCATCATCTCAGCCCAAAATCTCCTTAGGCTGATAAGCAACTTCAACAAAGTCTCAGGATACAAAATCAATGTGCAAAAATCACAAGGATTCCTATACACCAATAACAGACAGAGAGCCAAATCATGAGTGAACTCCCATTCACAATTGCTACAAAGAGAATAAAAACCTAGGAATAAAACTTACAATGGATGTGAAGGACCTCTTCGAGGAGAACTACAAACCACTGCTCAAGGAAATAAGAGAGGACACAAACAAATGGAAAAACATTCCATGCTCATGGATAGGAAGAATCAATATTGTGAAAATGGTCATAATGCCCAAACTAATTTATAGATTCAATGCTATCCCCATCAAGCTACCATTGACTTTCTTCATAGATTTAGAAAAAACTACTTTAAATTTCATATGGAACCCAGAAAAAGCCCACATTGCCAATACAATCCTAAGCAAAAAGAACGAAGCTGGAGACATTGCACTACCTGACTTCAAACTATGCTACAAGGCTACAGTAACCAAAACAGCATGGTATTGGTACCAAAACAGATATATAGACCAATGAAACAGAACAGAGGCCTCAGAAATAACACTACACATCTACAACCATCTGATCTTCGACAAACCTTACAGAAACAAAGAATGGGGAAAGGATTCCCTATTTAATAAATGGTTCTGGGAAAACTGGCTAGCCATATGCTGAAAACTGAAACTGGACCCCTACCTTACACCTAATACAAAAATTAACTCAAGATGGATTAAAGACCTAAACATAAGAACTAAAACCATAAAAACCCTAGAAGGAAACCTAGGCAATACCATTCAGAATATAGGCATGGACAAAGGCTTCATGACTAACACACCAAAAGCAATGGCAACAAAAGCCAAAATTGACAAATAGGACCTAATTAAACTAAAGAACTTCAGTACAACAAAAGAAACTATCATCAGAGTAAACAGGCAACCTACAGAATGGGAGAAAATTTTTGCAATCTATCCATCTGACAAAGGGCTAAGATCCAGAATCTACAAAGAACTTAAACAAATTTACAAGAAAAAATGACAACCACATCAAAAAGTGGATGAAGGGTATGAACAGACACTTCTCAAAAGAAGACATATATGCGGCCAACAAACATATGAAAAAATGCTCATCATCACTGATCATTAGAGAAATGCAAATCAAAACCACAATAAGATACTATCTCATGCCATTTAGAATGGTGATCATTGAAAAGTCAGGAAACAATAGATGCTGGAGAGGATGTGGGGAAATAGGAATGCTTTTAAAATGTTGGTGGGAGTGTAAATTAGTTCAACCATTGTGGAAGACAGTGTGGTGATTCCTCAAGGATCTAGAACCAGAAAGACCATTTGAACCAGCAATCCCATTACTGGGTATATACCCAAAGGATTATAAATCATTCTACTATAAAGACACATGCACACATATGTTTATTGCAGCACTGTTCACAATAGCAAAGAGTTGGAACCAACCCAAATGCCCATCAATGATAGACTGGATAAAGAAAATGTGGCACATATACACCATGGAATACTATGCAGCCATAAAAAAGGATGAGTTTATGTCCTTTGCAGGGATGTGGATGAAGCTGGAAACCATCATTCTCAGCAAACTAACACAAGAACAGAAAATCAAACATCGCATGTTCTCACTCATAAGTGGGAGTTGAACAGTGAGAACACATGGACACAGGGAGGGGAACATCACATACTGGGGCCTGTCGGGGGTTGGGGGGCTATGGGAGGGATAGTATTAGGAGAAATACCTAATGTAGATGATGGGTTGATGGGTATAGCAAATCACCATGTCACGTGTATACATACCTATGTAACAAACCTGCACGTTCTGCACATGTATCCCAGAACTTAAAGTATAATAAAAAAATTTTTTAATCTAATTTAAAATTTAAGTTTCTAATGGCAGCTTTGTTATATTGATTCTTTTTCAGAAAAGATGGTTCCTTTTTTTATATTTATGTATTTATTTAGAGATGGAGCTTGGCTCTTGTTGCCCAGGCTGCAGTGCAATGGCGTGATCTCGGCTCACTGCAACCTCTGACTCCCGGGTTCAGGTGATTCTCCTGCCTCAGCCTCCCGAGTAGCTGGGATTACAGACATGTGCCACCACACGTGGCTAATTTTGTATTTTTAGTAGAGACAGGGTTTCTCCATGTTGGTCAGGCTGGTCTCAAACTCCTGGCCTCAGGTGATCCGCCCACCTCAGCCTCCCAAAGTGCTGGTATTATAGGCATGAGCCACCGTGCCCGGCCAGATGGTTACATTTTTAAACTCCCATTTATTAAGAATTCTGGCTGGACGAAGCCAATTTTTTATTATTGAAAACTCTAATCATAAATAAACCTGTAACATTTGAGTTCCATTTTGCTGAAATGATTTTGAAAAAAGTTAAAACAACGATAATTTGGTAGTGTCCATAAAGATTCCCAGACTAAAATAGAATTAAACCATAGATATTTCTAAGGCTATAAAGTAAAAAGTTATTCCATGAAAAAATATGTTAATAATAAACCAGCCAATCTGTTTAAAAAGAGTATATGTAATTGAAAATATCGTGATGCAACAAAGTATGTCTACACCATTTCTATCTAGAATTCTGTATTATTTGGGGCACAGCATAATTTTTACACATCTAGTTGACAAATTTATTTCTTATGTTAGAGAAGGATAAAGAGAACACCTTGGTTAACATTTGGAATCAAAGTTCAAATACATCTTCCAAGATCACTTGGTCCTGCTGCAGATCATGCTCCCTTATACCCTTATATGTGCATGGCTCAGCTTGACCTCAAATTGCCCTGAAGTCAATGACAGTTCTGCACACTAAGAAAGCAAATTGGTCCTTTGATCATAGCTATTCACTCTCACAACAGGGAAAGGCTAAAAGAGAAAAAGAATTACTCAGCTGTTAGAGGAAAAAGTTTTTTTTAATTCCAAAAATACGTTGAAAAAAGTGAAATAAAACAGACTTATTCCAACTTTTAGGCTCACAGTTATCATTTTAAATCATTACTGAAAAATTTATTGAACCCAAAACATGTTTAGTGAATTATTATTGTTAATTCATGTTGAACCACTTTGGAGAAAATCCTCAGAATGATCTCCTTTCCTGCTTGCTCAGGAAATACCTGGGTTGAAAAAAAATCAATTTCATCAATAAACATATGTATGCATGTGCCAACATAAAGGTGGCAAACTATTAGATTCTCCCAAATCTGTACAAAAACAAAGTTAGCAGCATACCAGGCCTCCTAGCAGTCTGTGTTTCCCACACTAGAGATTTTTTACTGACAAGAAGCTATGATTTGTGTTACCAAAAAATGTCAGCTCCTAATTTGGATGAAGCTGAGGTGAATTATACATAGGTCATTAGCAGCAGTGTGGTCTACAGTGTATGAAGGATCTCAACAAAATTCAACCACTGACATGGTAAGTGCTTTGAATAAGTCAATCATCATTCCTCTCCCTCAGTTTAAGCATTCAAAAAAATAGGGGTGTGTAGTGAACTCATTATCAATGTATGATGTGTACCTGTAAATTATTTTAGTTTCTTTTAGCAAAAACATCAAACAAAGAGAACATATTCCTGTTCGTCTATAGTGACCATTATTTAGTTTACTTTGAAGCCAAAATGTGGTTCTTCCCACATTTTTCAGCCTCCCTGAGTCACTGTTGCCTAGCTGTTTCTGTCTGGTTTGTTTTCTAAATGATTATTTGTAATAATTTGCTAGTCAACTCTTAGAGAATATTTTATATCCTTTTCTATCTAGAGAACTAACCCCCAAAAAAGCTGGGGAAGTGGGGATAGGGTGCTGTCTGCATCATTTTAACACTTGTATCAAGAAGTGGGAAATTTCCAGTCAAAGAGGCCACAGTTCCTTCTCTTTTAGGGAACAAAGATGGGATTGGGGCTAGTTCCCTGATCTCCATTGAGAGCTCTCTCTCTCTCTCTCTCTCTCTCTCTCTCAAGATTTTACCTATTGTTTCTTAATAGGTAAAAGCTTGTACTCCTATAGAGAAATCCAAGCATGGACTAGAGCTAGGACTAGAAATAGAAAAATAAGAAATGACACAAAGCAATGTAGAACCATGAGACAAACAAGGACAGATAGTTCAGCTAAGATTCCAAAACAGCCAGGTATCATAGAGTGCTTAAGTTCTAAGTGGAGGAACCACTGGGCTAGAATGAAGTTTATCAGATGAAATTCAAAATCGTGAAAGCAGTGAAGCCAAAGACAGCTAAGGTCATCTGTAAAAGAAACAGTACTGAGAATAATGCCAGGAATTCTAGACCAGCTATCTCTCAAATACATTCTACTGGTAGCAAAGAAATGAAACCAGAGAATAAATGTGACTTGTTCTATAAAAATGAATCATCTCGTCTGGCAAGGCAACTCAAAACACCTACTTCAACCTTATATTGTTTAACTCTATGGTAACCAAAAGTTCCATATTACATGTATTGTCAAGCAACATAAACAGTTTTTTGTATAATAGAATTGTTATGTAATGAGATGGAGCTAAGACTGGCAATAATAAGAGCCCACTATACATGAAAGGTGAGCCTATACCGCATTCCCAACCTGTCTTTCTCAGGGAGGCTTGAAGAACATTTTATGAAGGAAGAAAATCCATTAGAATTGACTTTCCTAAGAGATTCCAGTAGCAAAGATTTTGAAAAGCTAAAGCATAAGCAGAGAAACTTAGTCTGAGCCACAGAAGGAAAACAAGACAAATAAAATTTTCATGAACCAAAGTCTGCTTGTCTTGGACATTTTGCAAATGGAAAACATTGCATTATATTAAACCTTAAGTTGTTTATTTAAGAGTGATATTTAACATTTTGAATTTACACCATCACCATTTCATAAATATCACAGCCAGTCCATTTAAACTTCTTCCCTCATTCTCATACCAACAGGAAAGCTGAATAGGAAAAACACATCTAGCCAGCTACAGGTAATTTAATTTTTTATTTGAAAAATCAAATCAAAAATTTAGGACTGTGGGCAAGGGATAGGGAACAAGAAGAGTATATCTAAAAGTAATAGGGAACAATATATATCTTTTGAGGATGTGGTCAAAATGACCAGAGGCGGACCATTATAGTAGCCACCCATAATTGAAAATACTGAAGTTGCCCAATTTTGAGTACTCTCATCCATAGCAAAAACCCATGGAATGCCAGCTGTCATTGTTTTGGCACAGACGGTATTGTTTCTTCTCCTTCCAGGCCCACACATCTCCCTTGCTTTCCTTGGTTATTTTTATAAGCCAACAAGCCCTCCTTACAATTCTCCCTCCTTACAACTCTCTGAAGTGTGGTCCCTTTGAGATTTCCTACCTATTAATAACTTTTTTATGCTTCTATGAGAATAGCTAAAATTTACTAGGCAGGAGAATTTATCCTTATTTATTCTAAAGGTAATATAAAAGAGATTCTAAGGCAGGGTCTCCACATTTAGCCACGTGAGATGGACTGTGTACTACACAGTATCATACAACTCCATGAGATGACATTTACGTGGACAGAAATAGCACCTCCAGGAGTAAAATGTGGTGGTTCCATGCATGTGTCCATGGAAGTACAGAGAGTTTAAAAATCACATGAAACTTGTTCTCTCTTCTCAAACATCTTCTTAGTTTTCTTCTTTTAAAAAAGTGTGTAAATCACCCTTTTATTTTCAAGTTGTACAGTGAATTTCCATAGAACATGGTTTTCATATTCTTTCCTGATACATTATTTAAAAAACTAAAGAGGGAAAAAATCTTAAATGTCCAATTTTCTTTACCAAAGAGAACATTTCAAAAAGAAGAAAGGTGTTAGACACATGCACACGTATGTTTATTGCGGCACTATTCACAATAGCAAAGACTTGGAACCAACCCAAATGTCCAACAATGATAGACTGGATTAAGAAAATGTGGCATATATACACCATGGAATACTATGCAGCCATAAAAAATGATGAGTTCATGTCCTTTGCAGGGACATGGATGAAATTGGAAATCATCATTCTCAGTAAACTATCGCAAGGACAAAAGACCAAACACCATATGTTCTCACTTATAGGTGGGAATTGAACAATGAGAACACATGGACACAGGAAGGGGAACATCACACTCTGGGGACTGTTGTGGAGTGGGGGGAGGGGGGAGGAATAGCATTAGGAGATATACCTAATGCTAAATGACGAGTTAATGGGTGCAGCGCACCAGCATGGCACATGTATACATATGTAACTAACCTGCACATTGTGTACGTGTACCCTAAAATTTAAAGTATAATAATAATAAAATAAAATAAAAATAAAAAAATTTTTTAAAAGGTAGGAGAAGTCAAAAAAAAAGAAGAAAAGTGTTTAGCGAATTTTTTACCGTTATATTCATCAGAGCTCAACATGAGCCCTCTTTTTTTTCTAATTTGCAAATGTACAAATTGCATTTCCTGAAAAGAACATTTTAATTTTGTGAACAATGTTCATTATGTTATTATGTTAAGTGGCAATTTTAATTCATCAAGTTAAATCATTTCAGAGTCTAAATTGTGCTATTCACATCTACTAATCTCAAAAGTATAAGAAAACAAAATTTTATTGGATTTAGTTTGCCTTGTCTCAATCAAACTGAACACGGATCAATTGTTAACAGGTGCTATCGTAAATCTAAAATTACCTATCTTAATGATGATCCCCTATTATATTTAAGACAGTAAAGGACCTTGGGATTGATAGATCTGCTTTTCCTATTCCCTTAAGCAGCACTGAGAAGAAGAACCAGAAATCACAAATGCCTGAAAAATTTCACTGATGCCCCCCTTTCTGAAGGAAGTGGTCTGGTGAGCTGGAAAAGCATGCCTACAAGGCAGAGGATGTGGAGTGCCCTTCTAGATCTGAAACACTTTCCCCTACAGTAGAGAGATTATATATAACACAGTAGAAGCCAAAAGAACTCCCTAAATCACCAATAGGGAGGGAGGCAGAAGAGCTCATGTATTGACTTCCGCAAAAATAATTGTATCCCACAGCAAATGCTCAATGGAATTTATTAATAAAACAAAAGGAGAATAGCAAACACATACTAAAAGGCTAATCAATCTGGTAAAAGAAAATTGTAAAACCTTATGTGAAGGTCTTGGTTTGTTGCAATTAAGTAACACCAGAATCACCTGGAAGAATTTCTAAATTTTTTTACCTCTACTCTCGTCCCCTCATATAAAGAAAGGAAGGCAGAGAGACAAATAGAGAGAGAGGTGAGTGAGGTGAGGACTGCCCAAAGGAAGGCATGGCAAAACCAAATTTATGGGCTTGCTCTGATACAGGGTAACAATCTGGAACCCAGGAGCATCTGCCAAGGAGTAGGGATAGGCATCTAACGCCAACTCTCTCCATGGAGCACATTAGAGGGTTCTTCAGATATATCCCATGGCCCTGTACACTCCCCTGATCCAGAACCTTCTGCTAGGTTTCTCTTTCTCCAACTCTCAGCCTTGTTGGGGTGGGTCCTGAGAAAACTCAAGCCTAGCTATCCGCTCTATGGGCCCACTTGGCCCACAGAAGACTGTTGAATGTTTGACTCTCACCAAATTACAGAGTACAGCTTGACCAACTGCTGGTTCCTCAATCCTTGCCTCACCAGCAGAGGCAAAACATCAGCCTGACTCCTACTGTTAGAGTTTCCAAATAAGAGATGAGCATACATCTCCTCATTTTGCAAACAGCTTCAATTTTCTGAATGTTTCTTTGAATGCCCCTCAGTTGGATTGAGGAAAAAGGAATGAACCACCCTCTCCATCTTTTTTTACCCCATGAGTGAGAGGAGAGGAAATGTCATAATATTACCTACTCCTAAAACTTCCCTTCAAAGAATCCACTTGAGGCTGGGCGTCATGGCTTATGCCTGTAATCCCAGCACTTTGGGAGGCTGAGGCGGGCGGATCACCTGAGGTCAGAAGTTCAAGACCAGCCTGGCCAACACGATGAAACCCCATCTCTACCAAAAATACCAGAACAATTAGCCCAGCATGGTGGTGGGTGCCTGTAATGCCAGCTACTCGGGAGACTGAAACAGGAGAATCCCTTGAACCCAGGAGGCTGAAGTTGCAGTGAACTAAGATCATGCCACTGCCCTCCAGCCTGGGTGACAGAGCAAGACTCTGTCTCAAAAAAAAAAAAAAGAATCTAGTTGCTAAATCTTTACCTGTCTTCATATAGACCAGAATTGAGTAATAGTCACACATCTATATAGTCACTTCTTAACTTCTTAAATGCATGCTGCAGAGCTATATCTAGTACATTTCTTTAGATCATGAAGTATTTATTATCCACTCGTCTCAACTTTCAGGCTTAGCCAATAGTCTGAAGAATGAGGAAAAATTATATTTACTTTATGTTACGTAATATTTCCAAGGCTTTGTTTATAACATTTGTTTATGGCCACATGTTTTAGGTTGGTCTAAATCACATGTGCTAAATTAGAATGCCTTGATTTTCTTCAAATATTGAGAAAAAGCAGAGCATCTACCTACACTATATTTTCAAAGAGGGACCATGGATTTGAGTCTTTTGGTTTAATGATTCACTTAAATGTCAAACAAGTTCTTATTTTTAATTAGCCAAAGCAATAAGTTGTTGTTAACTTCACAGATTTTTTAATGTCATGTAAACAATCTTTTTCTATAATTCCAGATTTTCTTTTAAATTATCAAAAAAAAAAAGGTAAGATACAGTTAGGTCTATTAAATGTATCTCCTACATGCCATTTTTTTCTTTTAAAACTAAACAAAACTCTTGTCTGGAACAGAGTACGGATGCTCATATCCACAGACTTCCCATTAACTTTGGAAGCAAAAAATAAGAACTACATCTTTGTGAGAAGAATTTGGACTCTAAGCTTTGTGACTTTTAGCAAGGCAATCAATTTCTCTAGACTTCCCTTTCTTAAACATGCAACATATATGCCAGTGGCTCCTCAAAACCCGTTTTCACTCTACCTTTTTCTTCTAATTTTTTTTTTTTTTTTTTTTCTGTAGAGATGAGGTCTCACTATGTTGCCCAGAATAGTCTCAAATCCCTGGGCATAAGGGATCCTCCTACCTTGGTCTTCCAAAGTGCTAGGATTACAGGCATGAGCCACGATGCCTAGCCCTTCTCTTTTCTTTTTAGGTGCACAGCTAGACTACATTTCCCAGCCCCCTTGCAATTTAATGGGGCGATATGGCTTGAGTCCTAGTCAATGGAATGGAAGCAAAAGTAATATGTGCCTTGGAGGCCTATCTCATAAAAACCTTCCATACGTGCATGCTCCTTTATGCTCTCTCTTTCTGGCTGACTAGACAGAAGATGACCCTCAGGGAGATTTTGACAACCTTGCTAATTGAACATAAACCATGTGCCTTCTCAGAATGTTTCAATTTCCTCTTTCTTTCCAAAGATACCAATCACTGCCTGGATCACTCTGCTGCTGCCTTTGCTGGATCGTAAGCTAGCTGGAACTCCAGGTAAATTCCCATGCTTACCTGGCCCTCATGGTACATTCTTGCCCATCTCTGTGATTACACTTCTACATTTGCACGAAATGCCACACTGTACCTGTAGTGTATGGCTTCCTGAGTGGTCGCTGCAGGGCAGATGACACAACCTGAAAGCTCTGAAGAGTTAGAGCCTTTCAGGATGAAACTTGACCTCTATGAAATATGAAATAAGAACAAACCATGGCAAGTAACTCTTTCCTCATTTCTCCCTACCAGGAATAGTTCAAAGGTATGATTTCTCACTGGAAACCTTCCAGAGATGTGTCGTGTGTGCAGTATATACAACTATGTCTCATGCTAAAGCTGTTCCCAGTATAGTAATGCATTGCATGATCACATCGCTTTTTAATTTCCTTGCCTCATCTGTTGAAGATGTCAGAACCCTTGCCAGAGAGTCCGACGATCCCAGTTGTTCACACAGGGTTGTTATATGAACAAATACAAACATATTGTGTTTAAGCTATTCTATATTTTTGAAGTTTCATAGCCACAGCAATTACTGTTCCCCTAAATGATACCATATCTAAGTGTGAACTTGACCCCATATTTCCTTGAGTGGTTAAGAAATGGACTGTGGAGCCACGCTGCTGGAGTTCACATCTCAGCTTCTTACTTCTGTAGTGTGACCTTGGGAAAATTACTTACCTTGTGTGGCACAATTTCTTCGCCTATAAAATGAAGACTAATAATCATCTCTATTAAAAAGTGTTGTTACAAAGATTAAATTAGGTAATGCATGAAAAACTTTTATAATAGTTCCTGGCACACAGTAAGTGGCCACTAGCTAATAACTATAATTATTATCATTATTCTAAGGTTTCTTCCAGTTAAAATTTGTTTATGATTTTATAAAATTTCTACACCACTATTTAAAAGAACATGGTAGTTCTCTTGCCTTTGTTTCATGGTTTTCTCTTTTACATCCCCTCCCCAACAGCGCCCTTTTCAAAAGAGAATCTATACAGTCATTTGTAGGACACACCCCTTTTTATTACATTATGGTAATATCAGAGTAAAGTTGTGTAATTCATAAGTACCCACTCTCAAGTTACTTCCATTTATCATAGTTAACACAACAATCTGACTTTCATAATTATCTAAAACTTCATTTACTTTGTCCCCTAATCCTTCACTAGAGGACTAAAAAAAATAAAAAGTGAATTTTTTCCTTGAGGGGGACGTCCTATATATTTGGATTCTTCTAATGTAATCCCTATTTCCAGGTCAAAACTGTTCTCTTCATGACCACTCTAACCTTGGCTAAGGAAATGGCTCCACACTTAGAAGAGCTCTCTATGCTTGCCTCTCTTTTTTCTAGCATGTCTTGAGAAAAATGTTCAGTGGGGGATTTTCTACTTCTTTGCATCCCTTTCCCTCTCTTGAATCCAAGGGCCTTAAGCTTTTTCTACTTATCCATTATGTTCAATGTTCTTATTTACTCTCTCAGCGTTTTTTTTATGTTTTTAGACTCCTGCCTCCTCATATGGGCTACTTCTATTCCAGAGTGGAGATATCCAACCCATCTGTATTTTACAGAGAGAGTTTTCAACCTGGAGGCAAGTATAACACAACATATAATACTTTTAAAAAGTCTCAGCCAGGCACAGTGGCTCAAACCTGTAATTCCAGCACTTTGGGAGGCCAAGACAGATGAATCACTTGAGGTCAGGAGTTTGAAACTAGTCTGATCAACATGGCAAAACCCCACCTCTCCCAAAAATACAAAAATTGGCCAGGTGTGGTGGTGCACACCTATAGTCCCAGCTACTCGGGAGGCTGAGGCATGAGAATCACTTGAGCCTGAGAGCCAGAGGTTGCAATTAGCCAAGATAGTGCCACTGCACTCCAGCCTGGGCGACAGAAAAAGACTGTCTCAAAAAAATAAATAAATAAAAACAGATAAAGTATTTCTCACTTATATTTTGTTATATTATTACAATTTGTAGAGATGTGGACTCACTATTTTGTCCAGGCAGGTCTCGAACTTCTGTCCTCAAATGATCCTCCTGCCTCAGCCTCCCAAGGTGTTGGGATTACAGGCATGAGCCACCATGCCCAGCCCATATGTTACTATTCATGAGTTGGTTCCTTCCCTTTGTTTGAACAGTCAAACTGGTTAGCAGTAAAATGATGGAGAATCTATTTCTGTTACTACTCAGAACATTTGAAGCAGGAAAAATGTGATGACAATTCTAGGTCAATAGCTTTAAAAACATTAGTTTTAAAAGAACAAAAATTACCTCTGTTGTGAGAGGGAAATTAGTGCAGCAAAAAGAATAAGGACACAAATAATCATGCTACACGTCTGATTCTGCAAAAGGGGTGACCAAAATTTCCAAAAGAACTTAGCACTTGTTGTGCCCTCTGGTTCCTTCCTAGCCCCTCTTGATGTCATGCTTCTGATTTGGCTTTGAATCCAGATTTAGCAACCTTTTCCACTTATTAACCATGTCATTTTCTTTCAACCATTCTTTGTAAAATGTGAGGAGTGTCTACTTCTCTAGGTTGCGAGGAGGATAAAAAATGACTGTGTGTTTAGAATATTCTAACAGCTAATCTGTCACATGATAAGTACTCAATAATGCAGCATGTTGGTTCTCTCCATTTTCCTGATCTTCATCCGTTTGTAGATAATTAAAACGATGAGTCAATGGAGCACAGTGGTGCATGCCTGTAATCCCAGCGCTTTTGGAGGCCAAGGCAGGTGGATTGCTTGAGCTCAGGAGTTCAAGACTAGCCTGGGCAACATAGTGAAAACCCTGCCTCTACTAAAAATATAAAAATTAGCTGTGGGTGGTGGTGCATGCCTGTAATCCTAGCTACTTGGGAGGCTGAGGTAGGAGGATTGATGACCAGGACGTCGAAGCTGCAGTGAGCCAAGATTGCACCACTGCATTCTAGCCTGGGCAACAGGGGCCCTGTTCTCAGAAAAAAACAAAACAAAACGAAAAAAAAAAAACCTAAGACACGGCTAGGAATGATCAAAAAAGATAGAGCATATCTTAGTATAAGTAAGAAAATTAAACTATTCTTGCCATTTGTTTGTGAGGATCATAAAACAGGAGACATGCCTACCATATGAGAAAATGGACTGCTTGCAGGTATCTGCTTTGATAAGTGCAGAGCTTTTGTTAGGAAATCAAATCCCACATTAATGGGCTTGCCCTCTTTCTAGGTCACATAGGGAAGTATAGAATTGGGCCATGGAAGTTTTTCTATTCTTTTAAATTATTGAAAATTTGTGCATTTATCTTTCAAAGACAAAACAGAATATACTAAGAAATGCCAGACAAGTAGAAAATAAATGGTACTGCAAGATTTTTTCTCTGTATTGACAACTGAACGGAAATTGAAATAAAACAGGGAGGTAGACAGTTTAGCCAAATGATATGAGCATGATTAATGTTCTAAGCGATGTCTAACCAAGTCAAAGCATGTATTTTACTATTTGTTAACACCCCCAGGACCCTTGGTCCAGTTAGTTTTGACACATTCCAGCCAAAATCCTTAAAAATAAACAAAATCCCATGGCCTGAGCTAGAAACAACATATTTAGGAGTTTTTAGTTTTGTGTTACTATATGGTAAAAAAAGAGTTAGGTAAGCAATAAGGTAAAGGAGTTAATCACTTATTTCTTTGTATATTTTATACCAATCTTTATCCCTAAGTTTACTTATAGAGATATATATAAAATGGAATCATACAGTTATGTTACTGAAAATAGCCTCAAAATCTACAGTAGAAGTTCTAAATCAATTAGTATCCAACCTGCTCATGTAGCTAATGCCTTTCATTGTCCACCCACTCTAGTATCTAATAATCCAAATGGTGATAAATAAAGAAAAGTAGGTAATTTTTTTTATCCATGAGACTGTCTTTTTCAATTCCATTAATATCAATAAATATGTATTGCATTCTCATCATGTACAAGACAATAGTATTAGGTTCTACATTTCATTTATTCAAATCAACCATAGTGCTAGTGAGACCAAGTTTGTAAAATCAAGCTCTCTAATGGTAGAGCTAATATATGTCTATTAGCTGATCACAGAGTGCTTTTCTAATTCTGGAACTGAAAATTAAAGGCAGTCATTCCTTAGAGAAAAAGAAGGCCAAGCAAGGGATTATGGCTCCATCAGATAATATCATTAAGTTATCTCCTTACCACACCTGATAGAGAAATTCAGATTGCTAATTAGCTGCCTATAATGCTGAGCTTTTTAAAGCTTCAGGAGATGAAAAAATGCTTCTGATTGATTATTACATTCTGACAGTGGCCCATGTGGCAGAAACTAGGCACTTCATTTCTAACATTTAAAAAGCAGTTGCTATTCTATTGTCTTGTGCTGAGCCATCTTACTTATTCTTATGCTGATACTTCATAAATCTTGCATCCTTCCTTGGAGCTTTCCCTTACAAAAATCACATATAAATACTTTTCAAAAAATAAAAGTGTCTCCTGTTGCTATAATTTTTATATTGGATGAAACTTAGCTGCCTAAGGATAATAAATGAGAAGAAGAGACAGAGATACCTAAATAGTTGATAGACTCTGGTTGCCCAGATTTTTAAAATATGATTCTTTCTCTGAAGTGAGATACCTGAGACGACATTTTTGTCATTGATGCCTTTAAAATTTTTTGTTTGAATGCTATAGTTCTTATCCAGTCATTTTGGCCTGATTTGTTGGGTTTGATAACTGTTTGACTTATTTTGAAATTGAGGGTAGGAAGGGGAAATCTTTGATTATTTCTAATTTTTATATATTTTATTAGTAATTACTGTGTTTTCATAAATGTTTTTAAGTGTTCACACTTTAAAACCAATTGGACTTCTGGGTATGTAGAGTAAAATTGATTTTACTGTATTAAACTACTAAAAATGTTTCTATAATTTTTCTTCAGTTAGAAAGAACTACTAAGGCTAAATTTCTGAGCTTTAAATTTTTAGGAACTTACTCCTTCAATTTTCTGATGTAGACGCATGTTTACAGCTATGAAAACAAAACCTCTAAATGAAGGTGCTAAGCTAGTCTTATTCTAACCATATTTTAAATAGGAGTATCTAAATAAAGATCATATTTTACTTTTTCTTTTAGTTTGTAATATTGGAAACAGAGTTGAAGATTCTCCTGCAGCTACCAAGTCCTAAGCATATAATGATGCTTGTCAAGATGAAAATACAGTTGATCCTCATTATTTGTGGATTCTGTATTTGTGAAATTGCCTACTTGCTAAAATTTATTTGTAATTCCAAAATCAATATTCACTATGTTTTCATGGTCATTCAATCCTGCACAGAGCAGGGAAAAATATTTCAGTCCCCCAGAGTGTACAATCCCAGCTGAGGTTGAACAAGGTGACAGGTAACATTTTGTTTTTTTTGTTTCAGTTCTCATACATGTAACAGATGTCCTTTTCATGGCCTATTTAATGCCACTTATCACATTTTTGTGCTTTTTGTCAGTGGTTTCACTATATAAAATGGTCCCAAAGTGAAGTACTGAAGTGGTATCTGGTGTTCCTAAGAACAAGAAGGTCATGATGTGCTTTAGGGAGAAAATACGTGTGTTAGATAAGCTTTGTTCAGAACTGAATTATACTGCTGGAGGCCAGGAGTTTGATGCTATCAAATCAATAGTATACGTTAAAGTAGGTGTCTTTTACAGAAACACACATATGATAAGGTAATGTATTGATAAGTTGATAAAAATGTTGAGACCAGAGGTTCATAAGGACCAAACACTGTATTTCCCTTAGTTCAATATTCACAAATTCAGGGCTTTTGGCAACTTTATAGAACATATCTACCATGAATAATCATTATCAACTGCAAATACTTGTGGTCAGAATTAGTCTACAGATGATCAGACAATGGGCATACATACCTTCAGGTTGCATTTCACTATGATCCCACAGCTGCCTTAAGCTGATTTTTAAACCCCCTCCCATCCAACAAAGAACTTAGCTCAATTTACCTTCTACCCCTACCTCATTTTTGTAACCACTTGTTACTGCAGTCTCTCAGTTGATATGATAGTCTCAAAACTGTATAGAAAACTAAAGTCCTTGAGATTTCTGCAAATTCCCAATGATTATATGTTTTCCTATACCTCTCTGGCTTATTCTACTGCTTCTGCTCATTTCATTTAGTTTATGGACCACCTAATGATTCCATTTCCATTAAAATTATAAATACACGTACAAACATTTCATATAAGGCATTGACAAGTTTGGGAAAATCTACTGACATTTTGGGGCTACAGAAACGAGGACAGAATCCTAGTTCAGAAAAATAAGCAACTTTACATTGAATATAATACATTTTTATTCTAAAGATATCCTTCAGCTACAACATCACTGGAGAATTTCCAGTGCTTATGTATCTCCCATTATGCCTTGGCCTCATAGCCTATCCTCTATACCCTTCCTTTTCAGGAGAAAAAAAAAATGTATCTTATTTTTGCCTACAGAGCAGTTTAGCTATCCTATTATATTGCAGTATGATTTACCCACACCCCAAGTGTTCCATCATCTATACCAAGAAGCCTATTAAGGTCTTTTTCTGAAGAAAAAGTAAGTTTCCTCTCTATATAAATTCTATTGCCAGCTGTTGGTAAGAAATATGAGAGTTAGAGAGATCTAGTATCTTTTCAGCATTAAAGAGCTACTACATGGTAGAGCCAAGATTGTAACACACACATTTGTACACCAGATTCCAACCCTAAAATTACAATGTTTTCTATACACAAATACCATCCTTTCTTCTCCCTTGAAACCCCTCCTAAAATATAAATATTCACTAACGAATCTTCCTCGGCTTTATTCTAAGAGAACTAGCTTCACACAAGTAAGGCCATATCTACTGGCTTAAGTAAAATAGAAAAAAAAGTATTATACTTATAGACATAAAATGTATAAGCAAAATAATACTGTATGTAGTAGGGAAGAGAGGAGAACTTGCCTAGATTTCAGGGTCAAATTTGTACAACGAGTTTATGCTTTGAAAATACTGTATACTCCAAATACATAGTAATGATGAGTTAAATAGTAACATAAACCAAAAAAGACATAGTCAAATTCATGTAAAAATAAACACCACCATGCATCAGAAACAAAGTAGAATATCCAAAGGGTAGATGAAGGGTGGAGTGTCAAACTTGCTTCCATTCAGGTCAGAGAGGAATGATGTGACTTCTGTGGAGGAAGGGGAGCTGAAAGTGTTTCTTGCAAAAAGGGGGCAGTAGTGAGTCTCACTGATTGAAATCAGGGCCTGATATGAGTTCTCTCATATGTAAAAGGAGGCTGACCAAAAAAAAAAAAACACATAGCAGACCTGCTGATGGGGACTTTGGCTTTTTCAGCAGCTGTGAGCCTAAGGAAGTAAACACAAACACACAATCTTGGTACTAAAAGCTAATCTAAGCTACTTATTGGTTACATAATTTGGTCTTCCATATTTCCATGTGTTTGTGGAACATGTTATAAATCCTAGCTTTTTACTGGGGCACAGAGAACTAAGTAGAGACAACATAAAACAGTTCAATAGAAAGTCATGAGCACAGAAGGAGAGAGAAAACAAAAACAAAAGCATTTGAAATAGGTCTGCAAAATTCTAAAATAAATATGAGAAAACTAATAAGCCAAATAAAAATAAGAAGAATAGATTATATCTGAGGTGGAATTTATTTGATGAAAATGAGTTTGAAATAGTATACGGAGGATTTCAAAGAGGAATGAAGGTGCAATATCAATATAATAAGATATCATGAAACCAAAACAGGCAGAAAGGAGGTTGATATTAAAAAGAACCAAGACCAGGCGCAGTGGCTCACGCCTGTAATCCCAGCATTTTTGGAGGCCGAGGTGGGCGGATCACCTGAGGTTGGGAGTTCGAGACCAGCCTGACCCACATGGAGAAACCCCATCTCTACTAAAAATACAAAATTAGCCGGGCTTGGTGGCGCATGCCTATAATTCCAGCAACTTGGGAAGGCTGAGGCAGGAGAATTGCTTGAACCAGGGAGGTGGAGGTTGCGGTGAGCCAAGATCATGCCATTGCACTCCAGCCTGGGCAACAAGAGCAAAACTGTGTCTCAAAAAATAAAATAAAATAAAATAAATTTTAAAAATAAAATAAAAAGAACAAAGTTGATATTAAAAAGAACCAATCAGGATTTCACTTATGGTCAGATCCTGCCAGATCTGACTCTCCTGCAGATAACAACTATAAACTCTAAACAAAATATAAACAGCAGCAACCTAAAGGCCCCAGAGAGTAAACCAAAACAAGGGTTGATGTTCCCACTTTTTATAATTGGTAGCCTTAGGGCAGATAAAAGTTGCTGCTACACAAGGTGTCTAAAACTCCAAGAGAAAAACCATAGTCTTTCTGGCCTGAAGAACCAGAGAAGAGAATTCAAAGCAACCACAAACACTTGGAAAGTGAGGGGGAGGGGAATTCTGAAGGGAAAAACATTCAGAATAAAGAGAGTCCCAAATTCTGTATATAGACTCTCCCCAAATCTCTGGCTAGCCCCTGAACCATGCATGCAGTGGACAGACTCCAGCTAAAGATAAAAGAAGCGAATTAAGATTAGAGCTGCTTGTAGAGACAGAGGTTACAATTCAAGTCCAACCAAGTTAACTGCCTGCTAAAATACAAAAATTAATACTCTTTGGGGGAATATAACAGAGTTCCCATAATATAACATTTCACAACATCTAGGATAAAATCCAAAATTACTCAACCAGTAATCTATGATTCATTTTCAAGAGGAAAATACAATAAACACAGACCAGTCTGAGAGATCTATTTGTTACAAGTGGTAGACAAGGATTTTAAAGAACCTTTTATAACTAGCTCAAGTACATAAAGGAAAATATGTGCACAATAAATAAATTTCAGCAGAGAAATGGAATATACTTAAAATGGAAATTCTAGAACTTGAAAACACAAATCTGAAGTTTAAAAAATATTTGGTTGGGTTTAGTAGCAGAATGGAGGTGATGGCAGAAAGTCAGTGAACTTGTAGTTAGGTCAACAGAAATAGTTCAATCTGAAGAACAAAAGAGAAAGAGAACATTGAAAAAGTGAAAAGAGCGTCAGAGACCTGTTGAACAATATGAAATATCTAACATATACATAAGCAGAGTTACACCAGCAGAGGAAATAATGAAAAAAAATTTTTTGAAGAAAAAGTGGTGAAAAATTTTCAAGTTTGTTAAAAGTTAAAACTTACAGACTCAGGAATCTCAGAGATCCATTAACTTCTCACAGAAAATTCTGAAGGCTAGAAGACAATGAAACAACATCTTTAAAGTGCTGAAACAATGTAACTGTCAACTCAGCATTCTATACCCAGTGAAAATATTCTTCAAGTCTGAAGGCAAAATAAGGACATTTTTAGACAAAAGAAAATGAAAAAAAATATTGCCAGCAGGACTGTACTACAAGAAATACTAAAGGAAGTTTTTTAGGCAGAAAGTAAATATCAGATTGAAAGAAATCTTCAGTAAGAATGAAGAACATAAGAAATGGTAAATATCTGGGTAAATATAAGAGTATTGTTTTCTTTTAATTTCTTTAAAACACATAGGATTATTAGGGTTCCAAGATGGCCGAATAGGAACTGCTCCAGTCTACAGCTCCCAGCACGAACCACGCAGAAGACTGGTGATTTCTGCATTTCCCACTGAGGTACTGGGTTCGTCTCAATGGGGCTTGTCGGACAGTGGGTGCAGTCCACGGAGCATAAGCTGAAGCAGGGTGGGGCATCGCCTCACACAGGAAGTGCAAGGGGTCAGGGAATTCCCTTTCCTAGCCAAGGGAAGCTGTGACAGATGGTACCTAAAAAATTGGGACACTCCCACCCTAATACTGCGCTTTTCCAACAGTCTTAGCAAAGGGCACACCAGAAGATTATATCCCGCACCTGGCTGGGAGGTGCCCACGCCCACTGAGCCTTGCTCACTGCTAGCACAGCAGTCTGAGATCGAACTGCAAGATGGCAGTGAGGCTGGGGGAGGGGCGCCCACCATTGCTGAGGCTTCAGTAGGTAAACAAAGCAGCTGGGAAGCTCGAACCGGGTGGAGCCCATGGCAGCTCAAGGAGGCCTGCCTGCCTCTGTAGACTCCACCTCTTGGGGCAGGGCATAGTGGAACAAAAGTCAGCAGAAACTTCCGCAGACTTAAACGTCCCTGTCTGACAGCTTTGAAGAGAGTAGTGGTTCTCCCAGCACGGAGTTTGAGATCTGAGAATGGACAGACTGCCTGTCAAGTGGGCCCCTGACCCCTGAGTAGCCCAACTGAGAGACAACTCCCAGTAGGGGCCGACTGACATCGCATACAGCCGGGTGCCCCTCTGAGACGAAGCTTTCAGAGGAAGGATCAGGCAGCAACATTTGCTATTCTGCAATATTTGCTGTTCTGCAGCCTCCACCAGTGATACCCAGGCAAACAGGGTCTGGAGTGGACCTCCAGCAAACTCCAACAGACCTGCAGCTGAGGGACCTGACTGTTAGAAGGAAAACTAACAAACAGAAAGGAACAGCATCAACATCAACAAAAAGGACATCTACACCAAAACCCCATCTGTAGGTCACCGTCATCAAAGACCAAAGGTAGATAAACACCAGAAGCAATGGCAACAAAAGCCAAAATTGACAAATGGGATCTAACTAAACTAAAGAGCTCCTGCACAGCAAAAGAAACTACCATCAGAGTGAACAGGCAACCTACAGAATGGCAGAAAAGTTTTGCAATCTACCCATCTGACAAAGGGCTAATATCCAGAATCTACAATGAACTCAGACAAATTTACCAGAAAAAAACAAACAACCCCATCAACAAATGGGCAAAGGATATGAACAGACACTTCTCAAAAGAAGACATTTATGCAGCCAACAGACACATGAAAAATTCTCATCATCACTGGCCATCAGAGAAATGCAAATCAAAACCACAATGAAATACCATCTCACACCAGTTAGAATGGTGATCATTAAAAACTCAGGAAACAACAGGTGCTGGAGAGGATGTGGAGAAATAGGAATGCCGTTACACTGTTGGTGGGACCATAAACTAGTTCAACCATTGTGGAAGACAGTGTGGCTATTCCTCAAGTATCTAGAACTAGAAATACCATTTGACCCAGCCATCCCATTACTGGGTATATACCCAAAGGATTATAAATCATGCTGCTATAAAGACACACGCACACATATGTTTGTTGCGGCACTATTCACAATAGCAGACTAGGAACCAACCCAAATGTCCATCAATGATAGACTGGATTAAGAAAATGTGGCACATATACACTATGGAATACTATGCAGCCATAAAAAAGGATGAGTTCATGTCCTTTGTAGGGACATGGATGAAGCTGGAAACCATCATTCTCAGCAAACTATCACAAGGACAGAAAACCAAACACTGCATGTTCTCACTCATAGGTGGGAATTGAACAATGTCCGAATTGAACACTTGGACACAGGGTGGGGAACATCACACACTAGGGCCTGTTGTGGAGTTGGGGAAGTGGGGGGAGATAACATTAGGAGAAATACCTAATGTAAATGATGAGTTAATGGGTGTAGCACACCAACGTGGCACATGTATACATATGTAACAAATCTGCACGTTGTGCACATGTGCCCTAGAACTTAAAGTATAATTTAAAAAATACAAAAATAAATAAATAAATGAAGCACATAGGATTATTAAAGCAAGTTTGCTTTTTAAAACAAAAATTATATAATTACCTTGTGACATTTAAAATATATGATGGACTACATATGCCTAAATCTAACCATAACAATAAGTTCATTAAAATGTATTACATACCCCAATAAAAGGCAGAGGTTTTCAGGATAGATAACACATAGTCTAAATAAATAAATGTATGTTATATTAAAAAATAAAGTTGAGAATTATAAAGTGAATCAAAAAAGATATACTCTGCAAACAAATGACAAAAGAAAAATTAAGAAAAGGACTATTACCAAAGATAAGAGGAAAAGAAGTTTAATGATGATAAAGAATTTAATTCATCAGAAAGACATAATAAGTCCTACAAAATACATAAAGCAAAAATTGACAGAAATGAAAAGAAAAAAATTCTACCATCTTAGTTGTTGATTTTAATACCCATCATAGCAATTGATAAAACAATCAGACACAAAAAATAATCAAGGAAGTCACAGTTGAAATGATTAACACTATCAAACACCTGGAACTAATACATATATAAAGAAGTAACCATAAACATGAAACTAATGCCAGGAAAAATAGAGTATTATGTTTAAACAACTGAGAATAAAATGACTACCAATTTAAAATTTTTCACAGAGTTAAAAAATCACCATTTACAAGTAAAGGTAACAAAAAGATATTTTCAGACACTCAAAGACTATGAGAATTTACCATTCACAGACCTATGCTAAAAAAATTAATGTACATAACTAAAATAAATATAAACAATAGAAGCTAATAAAATGTTCACTATAATTTGTGTGTTCTAAATGGTAAAAATAAAGTTCTAAATAATAACAACCTTAAGGAAAAATGCTTAATGCATATTTAAAGCATACTAACACTATTGTTGTATTCAGAAAAATAGAAATACTGAATAAAGGAAGAACTCTTTAAAAAGATTATAGGTAAAAATGTGTCTTAACACTTTAAGAGTAATACTAAATAAAAATATAATTTATAGCTTTCAATTAGCAAAATAAAAAAGCTATCAATCTAACAGAAATTCAGGAAGGTGAAAAAAACACAAAATGTATAGTAGGATAACAGAAACAATCCCAAATATTTGCATTGCCACAAAACTGTAATAGCTCAAATTATAAAAATTACTGATTGATTTTTGTTCATTCTACTCTATACACTGCTTTCAAAAAACCTAACTGAAGCAAAACCAAACTGAAAAATCAAAAACAAAAGTAAAGAAACTGAGATACTATCCAAATACTACTCTTGTAAAAAGGCTGAGTTACAATATTAGGATAAAACAAAATACGGTTGGAAGTCACTAACCAAGAAAAAGAAGAGCTCTATATAATAATAAGAGGAACATCTACCAAGAAGATATAATATTCACTAGTTTATATGTACCTAACAACCTCAGCATAAATATATAAAGCAAAAGCTTTCAACTACTTCTATTAGAATACTGCATTAAAGACTTGTTTTCATTGCCACATAAGAAACTGACTTATTATGAGTCACCTCAGATAAATCAGTTAAATTCTGTTCTCTCTTTGTGAATTGATGATATTCATGCTTATTTTACTAAATGAAATATTTTTGTTTCTAACTAGGTATTAATAAAGCTTAATAATCTGATATATACTGTACACACACACATATATGTATGTATGCACATTTATATATGTGCAAACTAGCAGACATAGAAGAGAGGGAGAAAAGAAAAAGCAAAAGAAATAGAAAAGGTTAATTATAAAAATGTAGGTATCATCAGGCACAGAGGCTTGCACAGAAGGAAATGGATAAATAAAAATTAGGGACAAGGAAGCACAAAAGTCATGATGGACATTGTAAAGAAAGAGCTGCTTACAAAGATCTGGATCCAAGGAGTTACAAATAATAGTTAAGATAAACAAAAAAATCACTTTTTTGGCTGCTTGTGTTATTTAAATCATACAGTTAATAGTAAGTAATCCTCTTATTTTATAAATGAATAGTTTATCAACATTAAAACAGACATAATCCTTGGCTCTAAAGTGTTTCCCGAAGTCTCTTTTTAAAAATAATAAGTTTTGGTTGGATTGTTTATCACGAAATCATGCCACAAGTCATTTACTTTGGTGGAAGCCTTTCCTAATTTTGAAGTCAAAAATGAGCTGCATCACAAAAATATGTAAATATGACAGTTTAAAGAAAAATGATGTACTTTGGTGCTTTAAGAACAGAGGGAGTTAAATAGTAATTCCATTCATGAAGATGGTTGTTGAGTTCGTTCTCATCACTTTGACCTGTCACCAATGTGTGTGACACTACTTGAAGCTAAACAGGTGAATTCATGATTCCCAATCTCTCTTTAGCTCTCAGAAAAGCAACGTACATTGGAAAACTCTTCACTGAAAAAGAGCTATCTGAAAGGCTGAGAATTTGTACAAAATAAGCTAAAAAATAATAATAATAATAAGTTCCTATCTTCCATAAAGCTACCATTTAAGGCAGACAATACTGATAAGGTCAAAATATTAAATTATACCAATAAAATGCAAGAAAATATGTTTGTTATTTAGAGATAAGAGAAATTAAATATTTCCTTGCTATGAGATTCTTGAAAGTAGCATCTATGTCTCTTTCAGCTCTGTTTTTCCAGAAACTAACACAGGGCCAGGCATAAAATAGGTACTCAATACTCCATTGTTGAGTGGGATTAAATTAAGAAAGTATTGGAGTGTTTAGCTGGATCTAAAATAAAAAGGGAACACTAGAAAAGCCACATGTGGAAAGGCCAAGAGGGATGACTAGAAACAGCTGTGGTCAGAGGCTCCCACTAAGAATAATAACAGCGAGTGAATCCTGCACCAGCAACCAAGGTATCCAGGTTCTCTCAGTGGAACTGACTAGGCAGTTGGTGCAACCCAAGGAGAGCAAGGAAAAGAAGAGTGGTGTGATGGCCCACATGGGAGCCACACAGGGCAAAGGGAGCTCCCACCCCCAGCCAAGGGAGGTGGTGAGTGATTATTCCACCCTGCCTGGGAAACGATGTTTTGTCCACTGATCTGTGCAACCTGCAGAACAGGAGATCCCTCTTGAACCTACACCACCAGGGTCTTGGGTTCCAAGCACAGAGCTGTGCAGATTCTCTTCAGTCACTCTGCTGGAGACTGCCTAAGACTAACAAGTTCCCGGGGGGAGGGTGGGCCATCATCACTGCAGCTGCCTGCTCCCTCAGACAACTGAGTTCCCTAGGGGAATTGTGGCAGCCATCACTGCAGCTCCAGTCTGCACTTTTTGCACTACTGGTGCTGGGTAGACTGGGTGGTTTGAACCTAGGAAGAATTCCTCACAGTGCAGCACAGCAGCTGTGGCAGATTGTGACCAGACTGCTCTTTAGGCTACACCCTGACCCATCCCTCCTCACTGGGCAGGTCCTCCCTTCAGGAATTTCAGCAACACCAGCCAGGAGTTTAGGGACAGAACTCTGATCTCCCTGGGACTGAGACCCCAGGGGAAAAGGTGGCTACAATCTCCGAAGATCAGCAGACTTAGTCTTTCTTTCCCCCTGCTGGCTCTGAGGAATGTGGGCAGCCCAGATGAGTGGGATTTCCCCCAGCGCAACACATCAACTTCACCAAGGGGAAGCCAGAGTGCTTGTGCTTTGTTAAGCAGGTCCCAGATCCCATGTCTCCTAACTGGGTGAGAACCCCCAAAGGGGTTGCCAGAAACCTTATAGAGGAGCGTTCCCGCTGGCATCAGGTCAGTGACCCTCAGAGAAAGAGAACCCAGAGGAAGGAGCAGACACCCATCTTTGCTGTTCTGCAACCTCCACGACTGACACCTCCAGGTGCAGGGGAGACTCAGGTGAATAAGGTCTATTGTGGACCCCCAGCAAACCACAGCAGCCCTACAAAAGAGGGGCCTGTTAAAAGAAAAACAAACAGAAAGCAACAACAGCAACAGCGTCAACAAAAAAGTTCCCACCAAAACTCCATCCAGAGATCAGCAGCCTCAAAAACTGAAACTACACAAATGAAGAAAAAAAATCAATGAAAAAACAGTGAAAACTCAAAAACCCAGAGTGCCTCTTCTCCTCCAAATGATTGCAACACCTCTCCAGCAAGGGCACAGAATTGGACAGAGGCTGAGATGGATGAATTGACAGAAGTAGGCTTCAGAAGGTGGGTAATAACAAACTTTGCTGAGCTAAAGGAGCTTGTTCTAATCCAATGCAAAGAAACTAACAATCATGATAAAACATTACAAGAGCTGTTAACTAGAATAATCAGTTTAGAGAGAACTGTAAATGACCTGACGGAGCTGAAAAACAAAACACAAGAACTTCACAATGCAATCACAAGTATCGATAGCAGACTAGACCAAGTGGAGGAAAGAATCTCAGAGTTTAAACACTATCTTGCTGATATAAGATAGGCAGACAAGATTAGAGAAAAAAGAATGAAAAGGAACGAAAAAACCTTGAAGAACTATGGGATTATGTAAAAAGACCAAACCTATGACTGATTGGGGGGTACCTGAAACAGACAGGGAGAACAGAACAAATTTGGAAAACATAATTTAGGATATCATCCAGGAGAACTTCCCCAACCTAGCAAGACAGGCCAATATTCACATTCAGGAAATCCAGAGAACTACAGGAAAATACTCCATGAGAGATCAATCTCAAGACAAATAATCATCAGATCTCCAAGAACCATCAGATTCTCCAAGGTCAAAATGAAAAAAAAAAACGTTAAGAGCATCCAGAGAGAAAGACCAGGTCACCTACAAAGGGTGCCATCAGACTAATGGCACACCTCTTAGCAGAAACCCTGCAAGCCAGAAGAGATTGGGGACCAATATTCAACATTCTTAAAAAAAAAAAAAGAATTTTCAGCCCAGAAATTAATATCCAGCCAAACTAAGCTTCATAAGCAAAGGAGAAATAAAATCCTTTTCAGACAAACAAATGCTGAGGGAATTCATCACCATCAGGCCCACTTTGAAAGAGCACCTGAAGGAAGCACTAAATATGCAAAGGAAAAACCAGTACCAGCAACTGCAAAAACACACTGACAATGTGTGTTTGTTAACACTATGAAGCAACTACATCAACAAGTCTGAAAAATAACCAGCTAACATCATGATGAGAGGATCAAATTAACGCGTAACAATATTAACCTTAAATGTAAATGGGCTAAATGCCCCAATTTAAAGACACAGAATGGCAAGCTGGATAAAGAGTCAAGACCCACCAGTGTGCTGTAGTCAAAAGACCCATCTCACCTTTAAAGATACACATAGGCTCAAAATAAAGGGATGGAGGAATTTTTACCAAGTAAATGGAAAGCAGAAAAAAGCAGGGGTTGCAATCCTAGTTTCTGACAAAACAGACTTCAAATCAACAAAGATCAAAAAAGACAAAGAAAGGCATTACATAACAGTAAATGGATCAATTCAATAAGAAGAGCTAACTATCCTGAACATATATGCACCCAATACAGGAGCACCCAGATTCATAAAATAAGTTCTTAGAGACATACAAAGAGACTTAGACTCCCACACAATAATAGTGGGAGCATTTAACACCCCACTGTCAATATTAGATCACTGAGACAGAAAATTGACAAGAATATTCAAGACTTGCACTCAGCTCTGAATCAAGTGGACCTGATAGATATCTACAGAACTCTCCACCCAATAACAACAGAATATATATTCTTCTTGGTGCCATATGACACTTATTCTAAAATTGACCACATAAATGGAAGTAAAACACTCCTCGGCAAATGCAAAAGAACTGAAATCTTAACAAACAGTCTCTCAGACCACAGCAAAACCAAATTAGAACTCAAGATTAAGAAACTCACTCAAAACCACACAACTACATGGAAATTGACAGCCTGCTCCTGAATGACTCCTAGGTAAATAATGAAATTAAGGTAGAATTAAGAAGTTCTTTGAAACAAATGAGAACAAAGAGACAATGTACCAGAATCTCTGGGATATAGCTAAAGTAATGTTAAGAGGGAAGTTTATAGCACTAAATGCTAATGTCAAAAAGCTAGAAAGATCTCAAATTGACACCCTAACATCACAACTAAAAGAACTAGAGAACCAAGAGCAAACAAACCCAAAAGCTAGCAGAAGACAAGAAATAACCAAGATCAGAGCAGAACTGAAGGAGACAGAGACACAAAAAGCCCTTCAAAGAAATCAATGAATTCAGCAGCTCGTTATTTCAAAAATGTAATAAAATACATAGACCACTAGCTAAACTAATAAAAAAGAAAAGAGAGAAGAATCAATTAGACACAATAAAAAATGAAAAAGGGGATATCACCACTGACCCCACAGAAATATGAACAACCATCAGAGAATATTATAAACACCTCTAGGCAAATAAACTAGAAAATCTAGAAGAAATGGATAAATTCCTGGACACATACACTCTCCCAGGTCTAAAACAGGAAAAAGTTGAATCCCTGAATAGACAAATAACAAGTTCTGAAATTGAGGCAGTAATAAATAGACTACCAACCAAAAAAGGCCAGAACAAGACAGATTTAGAGCTGAATTCTACAACAAGTACAAAGAGGAGCTGGTGCCATTTCTTCTAAAACTATTCCAAACAATTGAAAAGGAGGAACTTCTCCCTAACTCATTTTATGAGGCCAACATCATCCTGATACCAAAACCTGGCAGAGATTTAAAAAAAAAAAATTCAGGCCAGTATACCTGATGAACATCAATGCAAAAATCCTCAATAAAATACTGGCAAACCAAATCTGGCAGCACATCAAAAAGCTTATCCACCATGATCAAGTCAACTTTATCCCTGGGATACAAGGCTCATTCAACATATGCAAATCAAAAAATGTAATTCTTCACATAAACAGAACTAAAGACAAAAACCACATGATTATCTCAATAGATACAGAAAAGGCATTCAATAAAAATCAACATCCTTTCATGTTAAAAACACTCAATGAACTAGATATTGATAGAACATATCTCAAAATAATAGCTATTTATAACAAACCCACAGCCAATATCATACTGAATGGGCAAAAGCTGGAAGCATTCCCCTTGAAAACTGGCACAAGACAAGGATGCTCTCTCTCACCACTCCTATTCAACATAGTATTGGAAGTTCTGGCCAGAGCAATCAGACAAGACAAAGAAATAAAGGGTAGTCAAATCGGAAAAAAGAAGTCAAGCTCTCTCTGTTTGCAGACTACATGATTCTATATCCACAAAATGCTGTCTCGGTCCAAAAGCTCCTTAAGCTGATAAGCAACTTCAGCAAGGTCTTAGGATATTAAATCAATGTGCAAAAATCACAAGCACTCCTATACATGAACATTAGACAAGCAGAGAACAAAATCATGAGTGAACTTCCATTCATAATTGCTACAAAGAGAATAAAATACTAGGAGACAGCTAACAAGGGATGTGAAGGACCTCTTCAAGGAGAACTACAAACCACTGCTCAAGAAAAAAAGAGAAGACACAAACAAATGGAAAAACATTCCATGCTCATGGACAGAAAGAATCAATATCATAAAAATGGCCATACTGCACAAAGTAATTTATAAATGTAATGCTATTCCTATTAAATTATCAATGACATTCTTCACAGAATTAGGAAAAAAACTAGTTTAAAATTTATATGGAACCAAAAGAGAACTGTATAGCAAAGACAACCCTAAGCAAAAAGAACAAAAGCTGGAAGCATCACTCTACCCAACTTCAAACTACACTACAAGGCTACAGTAATCAAAACAGCATGGTATTGGTACAAAAACAGATACATAGACCAATGAAACAGAATAGAGAACTTAGATATAAGACTGCACATCTACAGTCATTTTTCCTTTAAAAAACCTGATGAAAACAAGCAATGGGAAAAGTTTTCCCTATTTAATAAATGGTGCTGGAAGAACTGGCTAGCCATATATCGAAAATTGAAACTGGACCCCTTCCTTACACCTTATACAAAAATTAACTCAAGATGGATTAAAGACTTAAATGTAAAACCCAAAACTGTCAAAACTCTAGAAGAAAATCTAGGCAATACCATTCAGGACATAGGCATGGGCAATGATTTCATGACAAAAATGTCAGAAGTAGAGGGGCATGGTGGCTCACACCTGTAATCCCGGCACTTTGGGAGGCCAAGGCAGGTGGATCACCTGAGGTCAGGAGTTTAAGACCAGCCGGCCAACCTGGTGAAACCCTGTCTCTACTAAAAATACAAAAATTAGCTGGACATGATGGCAGGTGCCTGTAATCCCAGCTACTCAGGAGGCTGAGGCAGGAGAATCATTTGAACCTAGAAGGCAAAGGTTGCAGTGAGCTGAGATCGCGCCATTGCACTCCAGCCTAGGCAACAGAGTGAGACTCCATCTCAAACAAAGAAAAAAAAAAAAGTCAAAAGCAATTGCAACAGAAGCAAAAATTGACTAATGTGATCTAATTAAACTAAAGAGCTTCTGGACAGCAAAAGAAACTATCATTAGAGTGAACAGACAACCTACAGATTGGGAGAAAAATTTTGCAATCTATCCATCTGACAAAGGTCTAATATCCAGAATCTACAAGAAAGTTCAACAAATTTACAAGAAAATAACAAACAACCCCATTAAAAAGTGGGCAAAGGACATGCACAGACACTTCTCAAAATAAGACATTTATGCAGCCAACAAACATACGAAAAAAAGCCCAACATCACTGATAATTAGAGAAATGCAAATCAAAACCACAATGAGATACTATCTCATGCCAATCAGAATGGCAATTATTAAAAAGTCAAGAAACAAAAAAATGCTGGTGAGGCCGTGGAGAAATAGGAACACTTTTACACTGTTGGTGGGAATGTAAATTAGTTCAACCATTGTAGAAAACAGTGTGGTGATTCTTCAAAGACCTTGAACCAGAAATGCCATTTGACCCAGAAATCCCATTACTGGGTATATATCCAAAGGAATATAAATCATTCTATTAAAAAGATACATGCAAATGTATGTTCATTGCAACACTATTTGCAATAGAAAAAATTGAATCAACTCAAATGCCTATCAATGATAGACTGGATAAAGAAAATGTACATATACACCATGGAATACTATGCAGCCATGAAAAAGAAAAAGATCATGTCCTTTGCAGGGACATGGATGGAGCTGGAAGCCATTATCCTCAGCAAACTAACACAGGAACAGAAAACCAAACACCACATTTTCTAACTTGTAAGTGGAAGCTCAACAATTAGAACACATGGACACAAGGAGGGGAACAACACACACCAGGGCCTGTCAGGCATGGGGGCCAGCGGGAGGGAGAGCATCAGGATAATCAACTAAGTATATAGGGCTTAATATTTAGGTGATGGGTTGATAGGTGCAGCAAACCACCATGGCACAGGTTTACCTATGTAACAAACTTGCACATCCTGCACATGTATCCCAGAACTTTAAATGAAAGAAGGCAGGCAGGCAGGCAGGCAGGCAGGCCGGCCAAGCCACATGTTGTGAAGAATAGTGAATACCCCTAGTTGGTTATTTCACCATCCAGCATCTATTCATGTTCCTCTGGGTAACAGTGCCCTGATGCTACCTCTCCCTCCCTCTCAGCACATAGGCTCCAGGTGAGCCTCCACATTTAGCTTAGGGGTGACAGTCAACATGTCACATTACCCTGGGATGTATTGATTGGTTCAGTGATGCGCACATGATTCAATTAGAGACAAAGAAATATTTCTAGGAACCCTGAGACAAAGGTTCTTGCCTTTTTGCATGGGATTTGAAAACCAGACCACAGAAACCAGAAAAATCTTGGAAAGATTTCTAGGATTATAAATTTAAAAACAAAAAAAGTAACATTCCTGCTGGTCATGAGGAGAGAGCCATCCTGGGGTCAAAGTCAACCAAGACAATGTGGACATGAGAGACAGAAAGAAAGCCCCCAGTTCCAGTTGTCATGGATTCAGCCTCCGGATGCAGCTGGCCTATGTATCTGTTGGTCAGTGTTATTTTGAAACACAGCTTACAGAAAATAAAATAGAACCACAGGAATTTTTCTCTATATTATATAATCTTGTATTTTCTCTACTGTCACCAGAACCTATTACTATATCTCTTCCCTTTTTCTTCACTCATCTGTGAATCACAATCATCTTTATTTTCTGTGAGTCTATTCATTCTACCCCTTTTCAAATGTACTTATGATGCAGAATTGTCTTGTTTGCGGGCCTGTCTCCCTTCTGAAATACGAGTTCCCCCAGGAAAGGGGTTATGCCTCATTAATTTCATATCCACCAGCCTACATAGTTTAATTTACAGAACATAGTAAGTGCTCACACTAATTTTGGGGACAGTGTGCAGTGTTGTGGAGAGAAATTTGAAGCAAGCACACCTAGGTTCAAACTAGCTACTTGTCTAAATTACAAAACATCTTAACACTGCAGAATCCTCACGTAAAAAATGGGCATAATAATGTATCTTCCATCATTGCTGTGAAAATTAAATAATGTTTGAAATATCCCTATATGATGCCTAGCTCACAGAAAGTCCCCAATAATTATTAGTTTTTGCAACCCCATTCCCAAAAAAAATTGTATAAGTTGATAATTCAAGGAAGAGATAATGAGAATATGATAAAAGACTGTTATAAGCAAAAAGACCAAATTTAGGAGATAATGTGAATGTAAAAACAACAATTTTGGGCAAAGGACTAAATAGAATGAAAAACACAGACAATTAAATGTAATCTAGAAAAGATTTGAGGACTCAGAGATGCCAGTGACAATTTCATCATGATGTGGAAAATAAGCACAGACCATGTTATCAGGTTGTTAAGAAATTCTTCTCTAAGGTTGTAATGATATAACTAGCGGTAGTAATGGTAAACCGTAATTTAACTGCTGTGAACTTCTTAATTAGTCAGAGGCTAATTCTCTGTTAGGGCCTCCATCAGCCATTCCAGTAATTAATTGCCCAAATTAGTTGTAATCATTGAGTTCATTGATAAACAATTTCATGATAACACGGAGCACAGGGCAACAAGAACGAAAATGAACTGCTAAATATCCAAACTAAGTGTATTAGTCCATTTTCACACTGCTATAAATAAATAACTGAGACTGGGTGATTTATAAAAGAAAGAGGTTTGGCCAGGTGTGGTAGCTCACGTTTGTAATCCCAGAACTTTGGGAGGCCGAGGCAGGCGGATCACTTGAGGTCAGGAGTTCAAGACAAGCCTGACCGACATGGTGAAACCTCATCTCTGCTAAAAATTCAAAAATTAGCTGGGCATGGTGGTGCACACCTGTAGTCCCCAGGAGGCTGAGGAAGGAGATTCATTCAAATTCGGGAGGCAGAGGTTGCAGGGGACTGAGATCACACCACTGCACTCCAGCCTGGGCTACAGAGCAAGACTCAGTCTCCAAAAATAAGTAAATAAATAAGGAAAGAGGTTTGTTTAATTGACTCACAGTTCCACATGGCCAGAGAGGTCTCAGGAACTTAAAATCATGATGGAAGGTGAAGGGGAAGCAAGGACCTTCTCCACCTTATGGCAAGAGAGAGAAGTGCAAGCAGAGAAGCGCCGGATGCTTATAAAACCATCAGATCTAGTGAGAACTCACTCATTATCACAACAACAGCATGGGGGGGAACCACCCCCATCATCCAATCACCTCCCTCCCTTGACATGTGGGAATTACAAGATGCGATTCAGGTGGGGACACAGAGTGAAACCATAGCACTAAGATCGAGCTACCCAGTAGAAATTACCTTAGTACTGCTTAGTTGATACTATTCTCTCACTAACTACTTGAGGTCTCAAGTCTTCCTGTGAAATTTCCAATGAACCCTTATAATGAGGTTTGCTGACTGGAAACATCAAAAATAAGTCTAAATATCAAAGTAAAGTGTAGGGTGAAACATCTGTTCAATGCATAGACAATGCGGATCAATGTGGGAGCTATCTTAGCCCATTAATTTCTTTTTTATTATTAGAAAAAAGTTAAATTTAACTATGACAATGCATTTCCACTGAGGATGCGAGCAGTGCCAATAAGGGCCAATGAGATCATTTATAGATTAGCTATAGTATTAACCACATCTCTGTTCAATCAACATAAATACATATACACGATTTAGACAGAGTGTAGCATCTTGGCTATGGAACTCTTGACAAATGGGTATTTATGGATGGCTAACATTTCTTGAAAATTAACTTCATACTTGTACACAGCCAAACTCTTTTATCTTAATTTTATTAGAATCATTTCCAAAATAAATCACTTATTTGCCTGACTCTTTCAATGAAGAATATTAATAACTCAAGTTTATCATTATAATGATTATTAAAGCCTTCATTTTCATAATCATGAGATTTAATAGTAAGTCAGTGACCACTGAAACCAATCACCTTCTAAATGCTTAAGTCACCTGATTGACAACCTGCCAAGATGCCATCTCCCTGAACCTGTACCCATTTACTTATGACAGCTCACTTCTTTCTTTGGCTGCCTATTGATTTTTTCAGTTTTGTGAATTTATTGTGTATATTAAATCAAAATCAGTACCTTTATACTGGTTACCTTTTGGTTTTAGTGCTAACGTTCGGGGCCATTCAAATTTAAACCCTTTTCCAATTAGAGTTCTTCAAATATCTGAAAATAATTATCATGGTACACAAAGTCTTCTCTTTTTCTTCATTTCTCATTTGCTTCATGAATCATTATTGTTTACTTTGTGCTGGACCCTACTCTAGATGTTGGGAATATATGTAGTATTAAATAAGACCAATAAGTTTCTGCCCTCATCAAACTTACTGGTGTAGAAGATAATAGACAAGAAAATAAATAAGCAAACAAGATCATTACAGATCACAGGAAGTATCAAGAAGACACTAACTAAATAGGGTTCTGCTCTGGAAAGTTACTGGGAGACACTGAGTGCATAGGGAAGGCTCCCTATCCGACCAGAGACCTGAAAGTTAAAGCTCCACCCAGAAGAAAAGCCAAGAGAAAAGCCCTTTAGACAGAAAAAACAGTAAATTAATTCACTGTCAGAGAAGGAAACTCTCAAAATCATCAAGGAATATGAAGGAGGCAGCTGTGGCTGGAGAGGTAAGAGTCGGGGGGTAAAGGGCCTGAGATAAGGGGGAGAGGGAGGCAGTACCTGATCATGTAGGGACTTGGTAGAAGCCTTCCATTCCCTTCTTTCATGCACGTCCGTGAGATGAGACCACCAAACAGGCTTTGTGTGAGCAACAAGGCTGTTTATTTCACCTGGGTGCAGGCGGGCTGAGTCCGAAAAGAGAGTCAGCGAAGGGAGATAGGGGTAGGGAAGTTTTATAGGATTTGGATAGGTAAAGGAAAATTACAGTCAAAGGGGGGTTGTTCTCTGGCGGGCAGGTGTTGGGGTCACAAGGTGCTCAGTAGGGGAGCTTTTGAGCCAGGATGAGCCAGGAGAAGGAATTTCACAAGATAATGTCATCGGTTAAGGCAGGAACAGGCCATTTTCACTTCTTTTGTGGTGGAATGTCATCAGTTAAGGCAGGAACTGGCCATCTGGATGTGTACCTGCAGGTCACAGGGGATATGATGGCTTAGCTTGGGCTCAGAGGTCTGACACCTTCCAAATGCAATGGCAAGTGACAAACATGACAGCAATAAATCTGAGGTACATTTCTGAAAATCACTCTGGCTTCCTGAACCTTACAAATTCCTGTAACCATTTCTCACAGGAATGATTGCTTCTCTAATCCTGCTCTAGGTATTCTACATTCTCCTCCAGAAGGGAGTCTGTAAATGAAGGCAGAGCTTTCCATGTGATCTGATCATTCAAAGTTAGGTGAAAATAATTACCTCAACTCCTTTAATGTTCTCCTCCTTTACTTAATACAACTCAAGATTAAGATTTCCTTCGGGGTATTCCAGGGATAGAAACCAAATAAGCTTATCAGAATCTAAAGTAAATAAACCCTATTTGAGGGCTTAAAGGCAGCAATTCTCAGTCTTGCCTGCCCATTGGAAATATCTGGGGACCTTCTAAAAACCCCTAGTGTGCAGACAACATCCCAGACCAATTAAATCAGAATCTCTGAGGGTATTATTTTTCAGATCCCAAGATGATGTTATTATGCACTCAAAAGACAAACACCACGAGAGAATGGCTAGCACTGTGCTCCCCAAACTTTAATATATAGACAAATCATCCGAGGATCTTGTTAAAAACATATCCTGATTCAGTAGGTCTGGGGTAGGCCCTAAGAATCTGAATTCTTAAATAGCTTCCAGGTGATACCTTTGCTACTCGTTTAAGAACTAAACTTTGAGTAGCAAAGGGCTTAGCCCAAAGGTTCTCACAACATGCACCAGAATCACCTGGTGGCAGGAAGTTGGGGAGGGGCAGTTGTTAAAACACAGGTTGCTGGGCCCCATCCTCAGAGATTCTGATCCAGTAGATCTGGGATGAGGCCTGAGAATTTTCACCTCTAACAAATTCTCAGGTGATGCTGTTGCTGTTGGACCAGGGACCACACTGAAATCCACTGGACTAGTCGATTAGCAAAAACCACGTGAACTGTAGTCTTTCAAGTTTGGAGCACAGACTTTATAATTTTAACTTCCATTACCCAGGATGCTTTTCACCTATTTTCATTCTTCCCTGAATTCCATTTGGGCACACTGTTATTGTACATTCTCCTGAGGAAAATGCTAGCTAAAAGGAGTTTTATTTGGGGAAGGAGAAATGTGACAATAATAGGCCAGCAAATGTGCTTTGGATGAGGAAAGGGAAATGTATCTGAAACACTGAAGCTTCCCCTGATATGTCTTATCACTAAAAGCAGCTTAGGCTAAATTTTGAATTGTCTCTTTCTCATAGATTTTAGCTGTAGTGTGCAAACAGTTTTCCCATTTAACAAAAACTTTAATGTTCTGCATTATGTTTTCATTGTGTGTCTGCCTCTCTGATTTCTTGTTTGCTTTGTTCCAATGCATCTTTGTGTCTCTTTCTTGTGAACATGCTGCATAATGCAAACTAATAAAAATATATGCCTCCAAAGTGTGGAGAGTTGAGTGCCACAAATAGAAAATAAAGTGAATTGTTCTTCCAACATCAAGTGTTTCTCAGGAAGCATTTTTTTTTCTGAAGAATATTTTTCCCTCAGGCTGATTTGCATACCAGGAAAGTGACATATATATTATACTTCATCTGTTATATATATTTCCAAGGTGACATCACTTATTGTTTTCTTTGTATTATGGTAGGACAATTATTTAAATTGTTCTATTAATAAAATGTGTTTTAAGTAATGAACCAGGGCATCTCTATTTTCCCTATATAAATGTTTATTTACTCAATAAATAAGTTTCTGTTCATGTCTAGGACTTCAAAATAATATGTGATAAAATATCTATAAAGTAGATATTTTTAAAACTACCACACTTAGCAATTTTCTGTGCATCAGTTAAGAATTCATATGGTTATGATATAATCAAAACCTTTTTTAAAAACCCTAAAACAATTATGATACAATTCACCTCAAAATAGCATAGAATCTTATAGCTCTAAATTGTGGTATGACAATGGTAGCAGCAAACTTGTCAAATCAGATGAGAGAGTGCAGGATTAGAAAGCTCCAAGTGTTCTATCAATCACTTATTATTCCCAGAAAAAAAGGGACAATAATAGAAGATATACTGAGACAACATAACAGGATTTTTTTCTCCTATTTAATTTAAAATGTCAAATTAGTTTTTAAAACCCTCTCAATTAGAAATGTACTCTGAAGGATAACCAAAAAAAGTCCCTTTGAGCTGTATTTTATTGTTATTTTTAAGAAAATAGAAACCAAAGTTTTGGCTTGAAGACTTACCTAGAGTAAATCTATTCTGGCAGAAACCCAAACAGATACTAGAAGTTTCACATCAGAAAATGGGATTTGATTGACATCCCGCTTGAAATCCATCTTGATAGTTTAAGAAAATCATTGAGTTAACAGAGAGTGCCTTGCAAAAACAGTACAGAAAAACCAAGGAACATTCTGAGACTCAGATTCCATGAGATAAATGTTAGAAAGGTAAATTTTGGGCAATGAGTTCAAGATACATGGCTTCATTATTTCTTTATTGACTCACTGGGATTACCCAGTATTGACCAGCAGCAGGAGTCATAGCTGGAAATGCATTCCCAAAGTCACTAGGTTATGAGTATTGCAGGTGCATGCGATCTGTTTGTTTGTTTTTAAGTGAGTTTGTATTTGCGGGCAGCCCTTGGGGACAATTAGAATTTTGGCAGCTGAGAAGGCAAAATGACTAACAGGACTTGCAGCCAAAATAGCTTTACATAGAAATTCTTATGAAAGCCAATACTAAGTATACACAATTTCGTCTATGACTAAGATCCTAGAGATGGAAGAAACTAAAATTAAATTATTGGTTAGAATGACATTGCTATAAAAGAACATGGCATTTGGCCCCCCTGAAAAAAATCAAACCCCAAAAGTAATTATAAATGTAAGGTATCCTGACTGGGAGAAAATGCTACTTAGAGTTCCACAGAGGTCCTTTAGAACCCAGTATCATTCAACATTTTTATTAACAGCTTTGAGTGGAGATGTTAATACTAATCAAACTTATAAATGGTTAGAATTACAGTGTTTTAGAAAATTAAGATTAAAGTCGAATATAAGCATGAAAAGTTTGAGAAATGGGTGAAAAACGATAAAATGCAACATTCAATAAAGGAAAAATGTGAAGTGGTTTACACAGAAAATGGTGAGTACTACAAAACACTAACAAGAACAAAACACTGAAAAGTATGAGAAAAACGGAAAGTATCAATAATGTGTCACTAACACAAAAATGCTATATTTTATTCTTCATTTAAAATAGTATTTAATACATTGAGTGAATTTCATTTGCATCACTTTGCTTTAGGACAAGTGAAATTTGAAGTTCATTGTGGCAGAATTATGTAATAACAGATAGTCCAATTACATCATTCAGAAGAGAATAGAGGAATTAATAAAAGGTTAAGAAAGAAATACCTTCATGGCAAAAGTTATAGAAAGTTAGGCTGGGTGCGGTGGCTCACGCCTGTAATCCCAGCACTTTGGGAGGCCGAGGCGGACAGATCACGAGGTCAGGAGATCAAGACCATCCTGACTAACACGGTGAAACCCCGTCTCTACTAAAAATACAAAAAATTAGCCGGGCATGGTGGCAGGTGCCTGTGGTCCCAGCTACTCGGGAGGCTGAGGCAGGAGAATGGCGTGAACCTGGGAGGCGGAGCTGGCAGTGAGCCGAGATCACGCCATTGCACCCCAGCCTGGGCGACAGAGCGAGACTCCATCTCAAAAAAAAAAGAAAAGAAAGAAAGTTAATAGTCCAGAAAAAGAAAAGGCAGCAAAGGGGAAATTATAGAACTCTTGAGTAATACATAAATAGAAAGTAGTAGTAAGTGTAATGGTTAAAAGACTTTTTAGAGCTATACGTATGGGTTTGCATCTAATATGGTTTGGCTCTGTGACCCCACCCAAATCTCATTTTGTAGCTCCCATAATTGCCACATGTTGTGGGAGGGACCTGGTGGGAGATGATTGACTCAATCATGGGGGCGGGTCTTTCCTGTACTGTTCTCGTGATAGTGAATGGGTCTCACAAGAGCTGATGGTTTTAAAAGCAGTAGTTTCTCTGCACAAGCTCTCTCTCTTTGCCTGCTACCATCCATGTAAGATGTGACTTGCTCCTCCTTGCCTTCTGCCATGACTGTGAGGCCTCCCCAACCATGTGGAACTGTAAGTCCAATAAACCTCTTTCTTTTGTGAATTGCCCAGTCTTGGGTATGTTTTTATCAGCATTGTGAAAACTGACTAATATATATCCTACCTCTTCAACTTCTTACCATGCACAAAAAAATAAAGTCATGATTTAGTAAGTTTCCTCAATTCTCTAAATTTCCTTATCTGTAGAATATAGAAAATGAAGGTATCTAGGATTGGACAATTGTTGTGAGAATTAAGTGTGATAATACATTTAGTGCAGAGTTTGCATTGGTTTCTGGGTCTCATTTCCTTCATTAATTAATCAAATTTAGTTAAAATGATGCTTTTCTAAAGTCGAAGAGAGGCAATGCTAGAGTAGATCCCAAATAAGAGTGTTTTGTTTGTTTGTTGTTTATTTTTGTTTTTAATTTTCTTTCCAGAAAAACCAAAGGAAGGAGATCACCAAATATAGATTATTTTAAGACCAAGTTATCCTTTCCCTCAAAATAAAGGGAATGTTCTAACTCAGGTTCCCAAATTTGCAGACAAAGCTTGTTTATGATATTTTACCTTTCAGAAGTGCCTTTTGTCCTTGGAATATGGATTACTCTTACTCTATCTTCTGTGCCTTAAATTAAACTTCTCAACACATTCTTTCCTACCTAAACCCTGTATATTCTCATCTTTTCTCATTCCAAGATACATATAATCTGCAGTCTACTTTTTTTCCAGCCTCTTCCCTTAAAGGTCCACATTTCTTATCACTTCTCTGACCACTTTGATCAAACTTTGGCTTTCCTGGATGTCATATGAAATATGAGATATTCTATGAGGAGTGTTGAGAGGACTTTGGGAGAAATCTAGACCAAGAACCTGTAATGTTATAACTAAACACACCATTCCATGTATTTTATTGTATGTAGTTATCAAAAATATTTTCATGTAACTTTAAGAGAATTTACTAAAGAAAGGTATAATTTTCCTAATTTAATGTACATCTAAGTGTCTAAAAGGGAGAGAACACATCATATATGTAGATAGGTGTGAATATGAAGTCAATCATGGTAAGCGCCTTGCAGTCTTTCATGATTCATGAAGCCTGTCACTGAGATACAGGATATCTGGTGGCAGGTGAAGGCTCCAATTTTGTTGAAATAGATCGTTTAGTACTGTGAAGGCTGTTAAAAATGAAACTATTTATATAATAAAAAGAAAATAATTCATTGCCTACATCTGTCTGCTGAAATTTAATAAAAACTGGTTATTCAAATGACATATTTTTACATGCAATGTGAGAATTCAGGGATGGATGCAACAAACACAAAGAAATAATGGAGAAATTCTCACTAGGAGTTTGAACAAATCTTAAATTTAGTAAGTCCAAAATTAAACTCGTGCTTTTCCCCTGACAATGTTTAACTTTATCTTAGCCCTGTGCTCTCACTCGCTTGTGTTCAAATAAATGGGGAACCACAAAGAACCATCCCGCCCTTTAATATTCCAAGATAACCCATCTCTACCTTCCTTAATGACTCAGTTAAGAGCCCTCTCAACTCCTTCTCACCATTCTCAGAAGATAACCTGGTGACATTCTTGCCTATCTGCCCTTCATGCAAGGCCTCTTTTCTTATCTTTGAGATCATCCTAGTTAATGAACTATCTCCCTATTACAACAGACTTTATAAAACCATCCCCTTAATTGTCTGGTGCATTTTGTCTAGAAAAACCTATTTCAACTCTTAGTTGATGGCAAATCCAATTTTTTTTCTTTTTTTTCTTTTTTTTTTTTTTTGAGAGAGGGTCTTATTCTGTCTCCCAGGCTGGAGTGCAGTGGCACAGTCACAGCTCACTGCAGGCTCAACCTCCCTGGGCTCAGGTGATCCTCCCACCTCAGCTGCCCAAGTAGCTAGGAACACAGGTACACACCACCATGCCCACCTAATTTTTGTTTTTTGTGGGTTTTTTTTTTGTAGAGATGGGGTTTCACCATGTTGCAGAGGCTGGCCTTGAACTTCTGGCTCCACCTTGGCCTCCCAAAGTGCTAGGATTACAGGTATAAGCCATAGTGCCCAGTGGCAATTCCATCTTGATGGCAGCTCAAGCCAAAACCCTGGAAGTCATTCTTGACTCCTCTTTTTCTCAAGCATCCCCATCCAATCTACCAAGGAAGGAATCCTTTTGGTTTTAACCTCAAAATACATCCGGAATCCTATCACTTCTAACCAATTCCGTTGCTAACCCTATGGTTTGAGCCATTACCATCTCTTGCACAGATTATTTTAAAAACCACCCCACAGGCCTCTCAGCTTCCACTTTTGCCTGGCTATAGTATATTCTCAACAAAATTACATGAATGAACTAAAATTCAGATCATGGCATTTATCTGCTCAAAATTCTCCAAAGGTTACCAACTTCAGTCAGAGTTCTTACAATGGCTTAGAAGTTCTCTATGTTGTGGTTTCTCCATGACCTCTCTGAACTCATCACCTACGAGTCTCACTTGAATCTGACAAAACTAGCCTCTTTTCTCTGTCTTGAATAGCCAAGCATGCTTCCACCACAGAATCTTTGCACTGGCTATTTCCTCTGACTTAAATTCCCTTTTTTCAGATAGCTACATGGATCACTCTATCACCTCTTTCAAGTGTTTGCTCAAATGTCACTTTCTCAGTGAAGGCCATTCTAACCACCCTTTCAAAACTTGCACATACAAACTGGCATTCTGCATCCCATTATCATGTCCTATTTTTCCCAAAGCACTTTACACCTTTTAATATATTATAGAATATCCTCATGTCTATGATTATTGCCTATCTCCTCCTCTAGGAGGGAGAAAGATTTTTATGTTTTATTCATTAATGCATATCTCAGTTCCTCTTTTCTGTTTCATTGCTATATCCCTAGTGCCTAAAAGAGTGTCTGACACATAGTAGGTAGTTCACTAAACATCTGTTGAAAGATTGATTAGCCAAACAACTAATTGATTGGTTGAATGAATGAATAAATGAATATAATAATACTATCTGTTTAAAGTAATAATAAGTGCTGCAGCTGCAGCTATGCACTGATAATCTGAATTATTTCCCATTCTGATTGTATTCAACTTTTTCTCAATACCCCTAGTTCTCTTTCCAGGCTCTGAATGTGGTAAGAAACCATTAGTATTGCTGTGTTTCTAGTACCATGGACACCACACATGCATTACCATAATCACACAGCCCTACACAGGAAAATAGTGAGGAAATGGCATAAGCTAAGCTGTGAAGCAGACAAGAATATGTCCATCAGATAATTCTGATTGTGAATTCATTAAAAACTAGAAGACTCCGATGAAATCAGTTGGAGTGTATATCAAAATTATACTCTCAAGATCAAGCCATAGGCTGCTAGGCATTTAATCAAGCCAAGAATATTCATTCTTGACAAGTACTATATAAACTGGCAGAATGTAAATTGAGGAAATAAGAGACTCTTTAGCCCTCTCTTTTATTGAAAAGAGATTCTTGATTGGTCTAGGAGGGGACCACAGGATTAATTTAAAATTTGTAACAATAATTCTTAAGGCCTTTCTTTTAACTAGTTCATTTTCAATTTCCCTATTAATTACACTGACTTGATTTATCATTGCCTCAAAACTTTTATGACGTATCTCTGTGCATTTTAACATTAGAACTCTCCAGTAAATAATATAGAACAAAGAAGTCTAGTGGAAACAACTGTACTTTAGAATCAAAAAGACAAAGTTCAAACCCAGTACTAACCATTTATTGGGTATCTTTAGGAGGTTATTTTTAATTGTGGTAGGAACATTTAACATAAGATCTACTCTCTTGACAAATTTATAACTGTACAGTTTGTTAATTATAGGTACAATGTTGTACAGCAGATTTCTGGAACTTATTTGTCTTGCTCAACTGAAACGTTGTACCCGTTTGACTAGCAATTCTCCATTTCTCCCTCCCCCTGCCCCTGGCATCCAACTTTCCACTTTGATTCTATGTATCTGACTATTTTAGACATTTCATGTAAGTGGAATCATGCAGTATATGTCCTTCTATGACAAGTTTATTTCACTTAGTATAATTTTCTAGAGGTTCATCCATGCTATCAGATATTGTAGAATTTCCTAGTTTTTTAAGTCTCAGTAACATTTCACTTTACTTATACACTACATTTTCTTTATCCATTCATCCATCAATAAACATTTAGCTGTTTTCACATCTTGGCTATTATGAATAGCACAGCAATGAACATAGAGATGATAATATCTCTTCAAGACCCAGATTTCAGTTCTTTTAGGTGGAAACCCAGTAGTGAGATTGCTGAATCATATGCAGTCCTATTTTTAATTTTTGAGCAATCTTCATACCATTTTTGATAGCAGCTGCACCATTTTGCATTCCCACCAATAGTGTGCAAGGGTTTCAACTGCTGTAAATCCTAGCCAATATCTCGTCTTTTTTTTTAATAACAGCCATTTTAACAAGTGTGAGGTGATATCTCATTTCTCTGATGATTAGTAATGTTGAGCATTTTTCATACACCTATTGGCTATTTATATGTCTTCTTTAAAAAAATATCTATTCAAGTCTTAAGCCCATTTTTTTGATAAGATTATTAGGACTGATTTTGCTATTGAAGTGTAGTTCCTTATATATTTTGAAGATTAACTCATCAGATATATAGCTTGCAAATATTTTCTTCAATAGCACAGTTTGCCTTTTCACTTTGTTGACTGTTTTCTTTGCTGTGCAGAAGCTTTTTAGTTCAATGTAGTTCCACTTGTCTGTTTTTGCTTTCATTGTCCATGTTTTTGGTGTCAGATCTGTGAAATCATTGCCAAGACCAATCAGTAGTATAGAGCTTTTTCCCTATTTTTTCTTCTAGTAGTTTTACAGTTTCATTTCTTATGTTTACATCTTTAATTCACTTTGAGATGATTTTTGTGTATGTTGTGAGATAATAGTTCAATTTCTATCTTCCCATGTAGATATCCATTTTTCCCAATTCCATTTGTTGAAGATACCATTCTTTTTCCATTGTGTATTCTTGGCACCCTTGTCAAAGATAAGTTGACTGTATATTTGTTGATTTATTCCTAGGCTCTCCATTCTACTCCATTAGTATATATGTCTATTTTCATGTCAGTACTGTATTGTTTTAATTATCGTTGCTTTGTAATGTATTTTATATTTATGTATTATATGATATATTATATATACTAACATTTATATATTGTAATATATTGGACAGGTTTTAAAATCTTTCAACCTAAATTTTTTCATCTATAAGAACAATAATCTGTGCTTCAGAGAGAGGTTATGAGGATACACTTAGATCTCCAGGAACCAGACACCAAGTGGATTTAAATTAAATAGATTTAAATTAAATAAATGCCTCTTCGGTTCCTTATTCCCGGGCAGTTTGGAAACAATAAAAAAAACTCCTTCATTCAAATGCCAATTGGAATTAAAGGACTCTGCCTTAGATTGCTAAAAAGTCTTCTGGGTATGGTACTTTCTGCCATAGTTTTTTCCTATTCCTTGAACACTCCAAAATTGTTTTCACCTTGAGACACTGACCTCTACCTTGAATGCTTTTCCCCATTTTACTACATAACTATCTTGTACTCAGGCCTTAGCATGGGATCTCAGAAATTTATTTCCATTAACGGTGGCTCTTTCTCCCCCTTTTACTCTCTATCATAACACCCTGTTCCTTAAGCTCTATAGCATTATTGAATATTGACTTGTTTGCCTGCTTATATTTCCTTTTTTTATTTTTATTTTTTTTGACAGAGTCTCACTCTGTTGCCCAGGCTGGAGTGCAATGGCACCATCTCGGCTCACTGCAACCTCCACCTCCGGGGTTCAAGAGATTCTCCTGCCTCAGACTCCCAAGTAGCTGGGATTACAAGCATGCACCACCACGCCTGGCTAATTTTTGTATTTTTAATAGAGATGGGGTTTCACTATGTTGGACAGAGTGGTTTTGAACTCCTGACCTCAAGTTATCCACCCGCCTCAGCCTCCCAAAGTGCTGGGATTACAAGCGTGAGCCACCTCACCGGGCTGCCTGCTTTTATTTCCACCACCAGAATGTACATTCATGGGAGCCTGTTGAATTGTTTACAGCAGTATCCCCAGGACTTAGATTGCCAGGACCATTAGTCAGTGCTCAAAAACATTACTTAATGAAAGAAATTTAAAAATTTCTATTTGAGGATGAGTGAGCATCAGATTCTTTTTTGACAGGGAGCAAGTATGCTGGATGCTGACTGCTTACCAGGGGATGTAGGGGCAAGAAGCCCCATCCTCTCTGCTAGTCCCTACCCCCCAGGGCCAGGGGAAAAGGAAACTTCATCTATTTCACATAGAAGTCTGCACCAGTCATGCATTCCTCACATTCTTCATTGATGGACAGACCCAGCTGGGACAGCTGAAGAGCGCATTAACAACTCGATAGCAAGAGTCCAAACCTTAGAGAATCCCTTCCTCCTCCCAAGTTATCCTCTTCTTTTGAAACCAGCCCCACTCCTAATTCAGCCGGATTTCTGTCACATAAATTTCTGACAAACATGCGCTATTTTTATTCCTGAGTTCATTCTCAGGCTTGAGTTTAATCTTGCTTCTGGAGCAAACCCTACCTGAGCCTTCTCATGTGGCTCAGACAATTTGAAATGATAGGACAATGAAATACAAGAAGATAAGAAAAAAAAATTTAATATGTTTGTACTTGTAATTATTTGACCACTGATTTCTTGGTCCTATTATTTTTTCAATTTTGTTAAGTTGTGTTAAAACATATCTCCTTGGAAATTTTGCTAGTATTGGTAAGGTATAAATACCTATTATCTGTATATTAAAATATGCAGGGTTTTTTAAAATGTAAACTCTTAATTAGGAGTATTGGCTATAAGAATCAAGAGTATTCAATTTCCCATATGTCTTAGATTTCATGGTACTTTAAGGATTGCTGCATATTCCATTCTGTCGTGTTTTTATAATATTCTTGCCATTGTATATACAGGTGAGTGCGGGAATACAGATTTTGCCTATGAAAGAAACTATGAATTACAGCAATAGGTCCAAATTGGTTCTCATATGGGCACCTTCAGTTATTTACTTCACTGAAATGGTTCTTTTCTAACTTCATGGAGTTCATTTTTATAAAGCAAATGTAATGGAGAAATATGGATATCTTTGGGATGTATAAACTGTCACTTTAGACTTAAGATCTAGAAAAGACTGTATATGTGTGTGTTCGTATATCTGGGTGTGTCTACATGATTGCAACTGGAATAATCGGCAGATACAATGAAAAAAAGTCCAGTCCTTGCTGTTTTATGTTCTACTATTTTAAACTGTGCTGAATGGCTAAAATGTTTTCACTTTGGGTTTTTTTTTTTTTCCTTAAAAAAATGAGACTTATTAGAAAAAAAAAAACTAACACTGGAAAGGGAGCGAGGCCAAGGAAAGAGGGGTGTGTGTGTGTGTGTGTGTGTGTGTGTGTGTGTGTGTGTGTATAAAAGGAAAGCATGGTGAAGGAGCCCCTTCCAGCCCTTATTCCATGAATACAAAGAAGGAAAGATGCTGGAGCCATTTTTTCCTGGCCAGCCTGACAGAAAAGGAACCACTAAGCTGAAGGTACATGGAGGATAGGGGTCAGGTCTGTTTTTTCACTGTTGTATAATCAGTGCCCAATTACACTGGTTAACAGCCGGGAAACATTTGTTGAAGAATGAAGGAATGAAGAGAGGGAGAGAAGAGGGAGGGAGAGCTTCTATATGCCAGCCAATGATGGAAAGATGAAGAGAGAAAGTTCTTCATGAGAAGAGCTTTTCTAATACTAAGTGGACCAAAAATAAACCTTTTATCCCGCTACTTCTTTATAAATATTGACTTTACTAATTTAATGTGTATTCATGTGCCTTTTTCTTGTACACATACGTAGGAATACTTTAGAACTGCAGGATTTCTCTTGAAAATCAGGCTTGCATTACTGATAGAATATAATAGTGTTCATCTTCTACAGGATAGCCCTTTTTTTTCTTTTACTTTTCTTTGTTCATTGGGCTTGTGGTTAGACATTTTATCTTTTAAATTTGCAATTTACCAGAATTCCTTTCCTTAACTATCACATGAGCCAATCGTTCAAGACAACTGTCCTGTATCTTTGTTTGAGGGTGGGGAGGAAGCAAAGCAAATCCTCACCCTTTTAAAAGTACAAGTAGGTCTTAGATCTTCTGTTTTCACTCTATTTAAACACTGATCCTATAAAACAAAACAGAATTTTATGAACTTCAATGTTTAATTAAACAAACATTTATTAAATCACATCTAGAAAGCAACATTTTCTTCTAATATTATTTTATAAGTATTCTTTTTTTTTTTGAGATAGAGTCTCATTGTATTGACCAGGCTGGCCTCAAACTCCTGGTCTCAAGGGATCCTCCTGCCTCAGCCTCCAAAGTAGTTGGAACTGCAGGCTCATGCAGCCAAATGTAGCCCATTTGATATTCTGTTCCTTGCCAATAACACTATTAGTGCTACTAATATTTAAAATAGTGTAATTTATTAACAATAATAATTCTCAAACATTATGAGTAAACAAAGGAATTATTAAGTTAGGCGTCAATCTGAAAATAATTTAGAGAATAATTTTTTTAAAAACATGCAAGAAAAGTAAAAAAAGAAAAACTAGAAAATGGATTCATATGCTTCTTGATAATTAAGATAACTTCCACAATTGCAAATGAAAAAATACTTAGGAACATCAGGAGTAAGCAAGCTATGATCTTGACAACTGAAGGTTTAGATGTACACGTTAGCTGAATGTTCTAAAAGCTCAAGTGCTATCACCTTTTAGTGAATATTCAGAAGATGGTGCACATACATGTTGTATCAGCAAAAAGTTTCTTTATAGTCAATAGAAAAATGCTAAGTCAACTTTACTGAAAGGGGACTTTTTGTCCCTTCTCTATTCCCAACTTTGTTCTATTTGCTTGATGTGACGAAAAAGAAAGATCAAGGCCAGGCGTGGTGGTTCATGCCTGAATCCCAGCAGTTTGGGAGACCAAGGCCAGTGGATCACCTGAGGTCAGGAGTTCGAGACCAGTCTGACCAACATGGTGAAGCCCTGTCTCTACTAAATACAAAAAATTAGCCGGGCGTGGTGGTGCATGCCTGTAGTCCCCGCTACTTGGGAGGCTGAGGCAGGAGAATCGCTTGAACCCAGGAGGCGGAGGTTGCAGTGAGCCGAGATTGTGCCATTGCACTCCAGCCTAGGCAACAAGAGAGAATCTCTGTCTCAAAAAAAAAAAAAAAGAAAGAAAGAAAAATATAAATGAGATAAGGTGGCAATGTTGTAAAGGATTGAGCAAGATTTTTTAACAATGGGGAGAAGAAACAAGCCATGTCCTTTTACCAATGAAACATCCAAGGTTTATTTAGAAATGTAAATGTTTTAGCATATTTGAATGAGGCAATGGGAGTGTTGAGATTGATACAACTGAAAGCAACAGAATACTGTATAACATTTTGACTATAGTTACTAACAAAGTATTCTATTCTTGAAATTCACTGAGAGTAGATGTTAATTGTACTCGCCACAAAAAAGATAAGTATGTGAAGTAATGCATATGTTAATTAGCTTGATCCAGTCATTCTACAATGTATACATATTTCAAAACACTATGTTGTATACCATAACTATATATAGTTTTATTTGCCAATTAAAATATAACTTCTGTTTTTTAGAGACAGGGTCTCACTTTGTTGCCCAGGCTGGAGTGCAGTGACCAGACCACAGCTCTCTGTAACCTGAAATTCCTGGGCCCAAGTCATCTTCCTACTTCAGCTTCCCAAGTAGCTAGGATTACAGGCGTGTGCCACCACGTCTCCTAATTTTTTAAAATTTTGTAGTAACAAGGTCTTGCTATGTTCCCCAGGTTCATCTCTAACTCCTGGACTCAAGTGATCCTCCAGCCTTGGCCTCCCAAAGCACTGGGATTACAGGTGTGAGCCATCATACTGAGCCTAAAATATAACTTAAAAAAAAATGAAAGCAACAGAATTAGACAAGCTCAGAATATTTTGCCACCACTATTGTTTAAGGAAACTTTTTTTCCCAAAAAAGTATCCCAAAGGGATACTTAAGAATCCTCTTTAATAGATAACTTTTAACAGTGTGCATTGTATGAAAGCCAAGCCATTCTAAAATTCTGTTGTTGAAATTGAAGCAAGAGATTTGTAATTTAAAAGTTAGTGCTTCATTATGAGATTTTACCCTTTTTTGCCTTAGTTGCATAGAAAGTTCTCAGAAAACAGACAAGCTTACCCAGAGGGAGAACTAATGTTCAAGTTTCCAAAGTGGGTGGTGAATTGAAAATCATGAAAAATATTATGAAACTAAAGAAAAATTAAACGTATGATCTGATGAATGTATTTATGTGATGATTGACAAGTTAGCCTCTAGGTTCCACTGAGCAATATTTATGGGAAAGGAGTGGAGGAGACAGGGAATTCTGGCAGCTTGTGCCTGCTATTTATGTACCGTTCAGCTTAGCAGGAGAGGGACGAAGAACTGGGGCTGCATTAAAAAACATCCTCTGGGCTGGCTCACTGGGCTTGCTTTGAACTCTTGTTCATCATTATTTTATGCTGCAGCTTGTCTTTGTGTTGGTGGAAGGGAAAAGAAAAACACAAGAGACTAGCCTTTAGTTTCTAAATCAAAGCTGTGCTTTGCTGACTGCTGGAGTGGCTTTTCAAAAGCAAAACAAGTGGGGACATTAAAATTCCTTGCTTTTGTAAACCAGGAGCTGAGTTGGGGTTTTTTTTTTCTTCTTTTTAAATTCTCAGATGCAAAAGGGTATGTTTCAATGTGTCTTACATTTACCTTGAAACAATCTCAGTATGTTTTTTTCCATTTGACTGGCACTTGGAGAAGATAAAGCAAGGTGAAAAAAATACTAAGGAGGAACCTGCAGAGGTTTGGAGGAAGGGCGTTCATTGTCATCGAATTTAAGAAAGAGAAGGATATGTAAATTTTACTAATTAATGCCTCTTACACATCCTTTCTTGATAGTGACCCCAAGGTCCAAAGACGTTAAATCAGTTGCCTAAAGCCCAGACCCAGAAAGTCAGGACTAGACCTTCCTCTGTGGATTCCCACTCGTCCTCTTTACACTGCCCTATGCTGCCTCTAGCGTTAGCCGGAGAAACTGTAAGGAGGGGTTAGGGGAGGAGAAGGCAAAGAAAAGCTGGAGAGGGTCGTAGATTCTTGCCTAAGGAGGCAAGAAGTGACCTCCCTGAGTCAGGATACTTGAGCATTTGACTTGACTAAGAGAAGTAGCCCGCTAGTTCCAGGCGTTGAACGCGCCAATTAGCTGCCGCTGAGTATCTGGGATGTTTTTTGTTTGTTTGTTTTTCTACTTTGGAAGATCAATGTAAGGTAGAAAGTTAATCCCTTTCTTCTTGCCCTCCACGCCTTCCACGCTGATCGAAGCGACCGTCCTCCCTCGAACATTTCGTGGGCTCATTCTTTGTAACACACTTGCTCTGGGCCTTAGGTGTCTCTTTAAACCCTCTCTCCCCTCTTTATTTCCAAATCTTTATCTTTGGCTTTCTTAAGCTGTAAAGGCACACTGGCACCTTAGGTGGTCAGGTAAGATCGCTGGATTCCTTATTTCGGCGAAAGTCCAGCGGACCATTCCCGCCACTGTACCCATTTTAGAAACACTTGGAAGACCCTTAAGGATCATTTACGGAGAGAAAGGTGTGCATTCTGCGGCTGCCGGCGGGCAGCTAGAGAACGTGGCGGGGGGCAGCGCATCTGGCGCCTTGGCCGGGGCGCGGAGTGGGAACAGCCCGCACGCGTCCGCTGCCGCCCTGCCTGGCGACGAGTGGCACAATCGCCCACCAGGAATCGGCTGGTGCCGCGGGTGGGCGAAGGCAGCGCCGCCGGCCCGGAGGGCGGCGCGGAGGGTGGCGCTGGCGGCGTGAAAGGCGTCTTTGTGCAAGATTGAGTGTGGTGGGGGGAAGGCGAAGAGAGAACTGATCCAGGACCTGGACGCGGGGGTCTGCGGCGCCCCTACGCCCCCACGCCCCCAGCCGTCCGCAGTGCCGGAATGAGCCGGATAGCGCCGGCAGGGGGCAGTGTGGCGATATAGGGGTTGCCGGGGGGAGAGGAGGGTCTCTGTTCACCTCTATTTGAGGCTGACTGGGGAGAAAGCTGCCTGGAGGAAGCTGCTGGGGTGCGGGGGGCTGAGGGATTTGGCTCCCCGCCCTCTCCCCTAGATGGCGGAGAAATCGGGCTAGCTGGAAGGGCGCAGCTCCTCTCCCAGAGCTCATTCTGGAGTCGGAGAACTGGGAGAGCGGCCCCCGAGGCGGAGCCTCCCTCCCGCCCCGAGTCGCGCTGCCCCCCACCTGGGGGAGAGGGGCGGGCGCCGCGCTGCCTTCCCTCCGCGCCTCGGCCGCGTGGCTTGCGGCTTATTTTCCCAGCTGGCAAGCGTCGCGCTGCAGACAAGGGAATGCCTGTGGTGAGTTGTTTATTTTGTTGAAGTTTGCGGTGGGCCCGGGGGACGTGGGGGGCGAGCGGCAGGCAGCGGCCGGGACTGTTTTGTTTAGGTCTCCATCCACCTGTGGGGTATAAATCTGCCAGCCTCAAGGCGGCGGGGGACCGGAGTGAGAAAGCTCTGACGCTCCCAAAAGCCCCTTTTCGCAACTTACAGATCTAGGACCACATTTGATTCTCCACGCCTGGAACCGGCTAGATCCTAGTTTACGCTCACCCCGCCCTCCAGCCTCCCATCAACGCTTCCCGCACCCGCTGTGTGCAGGGCTGGCGCTCCGCAGAGCAAACAGCGCCCACGACCCAGGGACAGCTGGCCACCGAAGTCCCTCCCCGGCGCCCTTCCCCGTTCCTTGAGGATAGGGGAGCTGAGGTTTTCATGTGAAGGGCGCCCATGAAATTCGTGGGAACTTGTTCTGGCGTCTTCTGGAGTGGAGTTCTTTCAGGGGTTTCGGGTCTGCCCGGGACTACAAAATGGGATCCTGGGTTGGCTGGAGTTTCCCAGACTAGGCTGGAGAGAGGTCGGCTGTTGGCTCGCGGGAGAGCCCAGAGGAACCCCTTGGGCGATGGCAGTCAAGACCGGCGGCTGCGTTTGCCTGGAAGAAAAGCCTAAATACATTAGCGAGCTGGTAAAGCTTTTAAGGCCTTCTTGGGAGCGAGTGGCTGGCTAATGAGAGGTTAATTTTGTTTCGAAGGGAAGGCTGCACTGGTTTCCTGAGATAAATGGACAGGAAGCGCATTACCTCCGCGCGCTGGCAAGCGGCTCCCAAATGCTTTTTGCACCTGCCGTTTTGAGCGGTGAGAGCAGCGGCGGAGCCCGCAGGGATTGCGGGGGCCCGTTGTCTACGAGCGGGTGATGAGCCCCCCGCAAGCCCCGGGCTCTCTCCCTCCGCGAGTGCATTGCTCACGCCAAGCTTTGGGACTCTTCTCTCACACCCAGGTCCTGCGTGTTCCGAAGTTCAGGGGCCCCCTGATCCCGCTGAGCCCCCTCCAGGAGCGAAAGGGTTAAGAATGATGTAAGTACAGGCACTTGATTTCTCAAGTCGCCCGCTTGGCCCTCTTCCAAGTTGTACTTTCCTTATTTTCTCTCCTTTCCTTTCCTTACTGTTCTAACGCTTTTTAATAAACTTTCACTCTTGCTCTGAAAAAAAAAATGATGTAAGTACAAACCACGAGCTGCTTGACGCTGAGCTGTTGGACTCCGGGCTATTTCAGCCGCTGCTTTGGGTACACAGTGGCCGGGGAGCAGCCGGGGAGCCCTTACTCTAGAAAGGATTGCACAAATCGCAAGCTTAGGTGATCTGTTAAGCAGTCAGAGATTCTCCTGTTAGATTTCTGGAAATGGAGACATATTAACTGGAGAACAGTTAAAAACATCACGTATAGGCTCAGGAAATGAAACTGCATCTTGTTTAGAATCCATTAGTGTTTCTGGCATGTGTTTTAATTCTGTCCACTTGCACGTTCATGCCGTAGTATGCTTTGCTGGATTCTCCGGATGTACTGTTCAGGTCTCCTCCTTCCTTTCTGAAAACAAAGAGAAAGGGAGAAAGAGTACCAGTGGCAAGAAACAGGGTGGATGTGTGAATTACACAAGTCATCAGCCACTTCATGATTTTTTTTCTGATTAAAACATAAAACTTTTATAAGTCACCGATTTTTTTGTTTGTGTTCTAGCTCCCTCCCCGATTTTTCTTTGTACAATATAAAGTCGTTTGTAACTTGCAGCTCACGGGCTTGAGGAGTGGCTGCGGTATAAGCGACTATTCACTACGCTCTTGCTTTCCAAGCCAATTCCTGATCTTGTGAACAGTACGAATTTACCCGCGAGTGTGTCAACTGACCTATGTCTTGAAAATAGGAACCACCTTGCGGTTTACTTGTGAAAATTAGCATTTTCCTCTAGCGGCTGAACACTTATGCAGCAATAAAAAGTGAATTGTTAGGCTTATAAATCTCGAGCTTGTCAAATTTTACAACAGAGGAGCAATAAAGCACCTTATAGAGATGAAGTTTTTCCTCTGAAGAACAGTTCCGTTTAACGACACCAGGATTTGCAATGACTCGAGGACGCCCTCTATTGATAGGAAAATCTAGAGCACCCGTGTACTTATGGAACAGGATATAGGGGGAGGGGAGTAAAAAATCATAGAAAGTCACGAGTGGAAAGACCCAAACCAAACAGAAATTATTGATCCTTAACTATTGAGTATATGCTTTGAAGTATGATCAATAAAGTGAGATGCTGCTTTTATAGGGGTCGAATTAAATCTTGGGTTAAGAGAAAAAAATGTAGTCTTTGTTAGCCAAATACTTTGAAAATCAGTATTATGTTTGATTACTTTTTTAAGATGCTTCTTAGTATGTCATGAACTGTATCTAATTATATGAAGTAATTGCAAGATAGTAAATTTTTGCTCTAATAATACTTAGTCCGCAGCATTATCTAAAAATGTCATATAACTTCCTCCCCAAAAGTCATTTCTCCAGGCAACTGTGAAGCTATTATTAAGCGTATTATGGATATACACAGGCTTGGATTATATTGTGGATAGTGAAAGGTGTGTTTACCCCTTAAGTCATCATAGTATGTAACAAGTAAGTAATGAAAAGTTACAGTAAAAACAGATAGGCATCCTTCATTAGGGACCTAGTGGTTTGGGCAATTCAAAATGTGTCTAATAAGTGAGCTGGTGAGACTGAAGGTTTGCCCCTCAATTATCCTAGTCCATTGATTAGCTCATTTAAACATGTGTGGAATATCAGCATGTCCGTGGTTGATAAGAAATTCCTAATTAGAGATTCTGAGTAACATAGCGGGTACAGTTGCCAACTACGATTTGGATGTTAGTGGATTTTAAATGGCAACCCTGTGCTGTTTGGGGAAAGGCAAAGGCGAGGGCGGTATCAAGTGTCTCTCAGCCTTGAGGTCATTCTTGAGATTAGATACCACTTCACACCTACCGATAACAAATTGGAATCTATCATCAGTCTCATAACTGCTTTTCTGTCTCCACTTGGCAGCCTCTTTCTTTGTAGACAATTGTCTTTTTCCTCACTTTCGGACCCATCCGATCATAAAAGGAGAAAGTGAGCTGCCATTGAATTAATCCGTAGAAATTTGTGGAAAATTTAAATAATCTGTAGAAATTTGTGAAAAAGCCACTGAGCAACAACAAATCGTGGCATAATTACACTGCATAAAAACCCACCACTCTCATTAATTACACTGTAACCGAACGTTGAAGTTTGCCCACTCTTAGACCTCTCCTTGCCGCTTTCAGGAAGGGAAATGTCAAACTAGAACACCTGAGCCTCGCACAGCTGCCAGCGAATTCCGGCGGCAGTTCGCGGGTACCTTCCCAGCCCATCCTATCTGCTCCGGACCGCGGGTGACATTCAGATTTCCAACACCGCCCCGAGCTTGCTTTACCAGACACCCTCAAACGACTCGGAACGCGGTTCCGCAGATGTGATTGGCTGAAAGGGGACCTGCCGCGCGGCGCTCTGTAAAAGCGCCTGCTTCCTCCAAGGAGGTGGAGCTGAAGCTGGCAGGGCCAGGGCAGGGAGGGGTAATTAAATTAAAAAAAAAACTTGGAGGGAAGATGAATCGGATCACATTAATTCAAGGAGAGGTCAAAGGCCGGTACCTTTGTAACGCCGGCGAGAGTAAGACTTGCGGTCGCCCATTTCTGTTGGGCGCGAGGAAACAGTAAATCGCGGAAGGGGGTAGAGGGGGAAGGAAAGGGAGCGCGAGGCAGCATGCGGCGCAGGAGAGAGGACTTGGAGTCGATGGACAGGGAACTCGAATTACACTGAGCGGGCGGGGGAGAGGGCCCTCTGGGTCCTGCGATTGGCAGGCTGAGTCGGGCTGACGTGCGGTCACAACCAATGGGGAGGAAGGGAGGGACACGGCGGGGGATTATGGCGTCGTGGATTGGCGGGCACAGGGCGGGGCGGGACGGCAGTGCGGGACTGAGATTGATCGACCGCGGGGGCTGCCGCGCAGAGATATCCGGGCCGCCGGTGGGTGGTCGCTAGGGCTGGGCCAGCCTCTTGGAGGTCCACGCCCGCCGAGCCCACGCTGGCTGGGGCCGGGGTGCCGGCGCGCTCGGGACTCGTCTCAGCAGTCGCTCACGGTCTTTGTGTCTTCTCTTCCGCCCCTTTCCCTGCCTGCCGCCTCCGGCCGCCACGATGCCCCTGCGCCCCGCTGCTGCCGCCGCGGACTGGCTGCGCCGGCTGCGCGCTGCTTGCTGCGGCGGTGGTGGCGCCCCATCTGCTACACGGGCCTGAAGAAGGAAGAAGAGGAAGCGAAGCGCGCCCCCCGGCCCATGCCGCAGCCACGGGCCCAGACCCGCCACGGCGCCCGCGCCGCCGCCCTCGCCGGAGCCCACGAGACCTGCATGGACGGGCATGGGCTTGAGAGCAGCACCTTCCAGCGCCGCCGCTGCCGCCGCCGAGGTTGAGCAGCGCCGCAGCCCCGGGCTCTGCCCCCCGCCGCTGGAGCTGCTGCTGCTGCTGCTGTTCAGCCTCGGGCTGCTCCACGCAGGTAGGACGGGAGCGCGCGAGGGGAGCCAGCCCCGGGGCCTAGGGCTTTGTTCCCAAATAGCCCCAGGTCTCGAAGGCGCTCGCCGGGGCGGAAGGGCGGCGTGGCGCAACGGGAAAGGCCTCCCGAGCCCCTGACACGCACCTCTGTCGGGCTCCGGGCCACAGTAACGCAGCCACCCACCGGGCGGCCGCCGGGCGCAGAGACGAGCCTTCTCTCCACCCTCCCCGCCTTCGGCTCGGACCGCTGACAAATCTCCCCTCCGACAGCCGCTTATCAAACATTTAGCGGGCGGGGGCCGCGCGCCCGAGACAAATGTTCCGGATGCTTTATTGCTCTCTGCGCTGGTGTTTACTGAAAGTCAGGCTCGGATCAGGTTTCCGCCGTCGCAGCCGCCTCGGAGGGAGACAAGGAGCCTTGTGCTGCTTTTCTGGAGTTGGGGGTGGCGGCGAGGCGAAGGAAGTACACCAGATGGAAAGATTTTTACCAGATTTTGCAAACCTGGGAGTTAATCTCGAAGTAACGTCAACTTTTTTGAGCAGGGATTTCTTTCGTTTTGGCAAAAGCTGCGTTTGTTCAGCGATCAGCCTCCCGGGAAAAGCTCGTGTTTTGTGACTAGCCGGGTGTCTTCGGGCTCCGTGAGGGGTTGACAGATAACCATGCTGCCTTCTGGAGGTCGGCGCTTCCCCAGCCTTGAGGCGTATGTTCCAAGGGAAGTAAGCCTGCAAATGAGCCTTCTACCATGTGATACCTATTTTTCTTTTTAAAAAATCGTTTCATGAAAATCCAGGACGCTCTTCACACTATTTTTTTCTAGGAATTTGCCTAGACAAAGAATTTTTTTTAATGCTAAGGTTGAAAGGGTCATTTTCCTTTAGTCTTGAGAACAAACAGCATTAGATAAGTTTCTTTTCCTTCCAGACCTTTTTTGTCCTGTATATATGAGACACTTCACAACGTTCTGGTCTGGAGAATCCTGAACTTCGATGCCACCCAACTGTGCGGAGTAATTTTTACTTATTAAACCATACCCGCCATGCTAAAAATCAGGGAGGTCTTTTAAGTAATGGGGGGGAAAATGTGACATCTGAGGAGACTTAATTTACTTTGCGTAGCTTTGCATTATGATGTAATAGCTGCTTTTTAACACCGACAATTAGGGAAAAGACGGCTTAATAAAAAAGTGTAATAGAAAGTTTTAGGATGATTACGGCTTTCAATTAGTAACCTAAGAACCTTAGAAAATAGTGTCAATCTGCATGTAGTTACGTGGAAAATTTTTCTTGACATGTTAAAAGATATATTCAGGAGTGTTTGTGCGAAAAATATGTGTCCATAATACCAAAATGTAAGTTTCATGAAATGGAAATTGTGCTAGGTGGGATTGTGTCCCCCTTGGCTGCTTGGATATTGTTTCCCATAGTTGCCATAGGATCCTGTGACAGAATTGGAATGTGGTCCCTGAAGGTTTCTTTGCTAGCCCGTGAAAGGCATACTAAGTTGGCTTAAAGGTTTAGAAAAGTAGGGTGTCTTCGTTCAAGAATTTGGAATGTGAAGCTCCCAGTATCTTCATGTGTCCTCATTTAAGTCACCATTAGATTCAGCCCAACAATGTGGTAAGCGATTTCTATGGACAACTTGTTGGAGTGAAGCGATTAATCCTGTTAAAGAAAAGAACGCTCCTTTTGAGAGATTTCTTTGAAGAGTGGTGCTATTTAAATGCCCGGGTTGTTTCTCAGATAAGGGAACCCAGCAAGAGTGCCAGTGCTCTTTGCAGATGGACTACTATATGTTTTATGCCTGGATCCTTATCATCTGCCTCAGCACCCCATATGGCTCCACATTTCACTTAATTCAGCTTCAGAATACCTCATTTCTTTTATTATAAACTGGTGATTGTGCTGCAGATTCACACGTGTAGTCCTGGTGTTAAAGAAACTGTCTTGAATGGTGAGGTCTTTATGTCTGATTCATTCAAAAATGATGAAATGAAAGCTCTAGACCCACAAATGCTTTAGCATGTTCAGTAACTGGTGTGAAAATACTGTCACACTGATCACAGATAATCTGACCCAAAAATAGAGAAATCTGTAGCTGCAGAGTTTTAATTCTGCCCTTGGGGAATGAAAAGAGTATGAAAAGAGTACCTTTAGTTGCTTTATTTTATTTTATTTTTTTTAAGCAAACCTCTGCAATTCCTGAATAGAGATCCAATATGGGAGTTACTTGCTTACTCATACACTTCATGGCCTTCTTGGCTACATCCTTGAGATTGTTTCTGCTCCGCATTGTCTTGGCATTTTGACAGGAGGCTTACTTTACCGCCTATAACAGGCAAAGTGTGCGTTGTCGTTATAAATTCATGAAGCCTGGATATTTCTGGGTGTATGCTACAAATTAGTCATTATATAGAAGCCCACAAGGCAGCTGAAAATGCTGACCCAATCGCACTTTCTATTTAGCCCTCTTCGCTCCCATCATCTCTGTAGCAGAAGGCTGTTGGAAGCCTTAGCCAAAGCAAAAGAACCCCGGGAGATCTGTTTGATTTGAGATTTGTTTAAGCAGTCAGCACCTACCTGCTATGAAAGAGGGAAAGGTTTAGGCCGGGCGCTGTGGCTCACGCCTGTAATCCCAGCACTTTGGGAGACTGAGGCGGGCAGATCACCTGAGGTTGGGAGTTCAAGACCTGCCTGACCAACATGGAGAAACCCTGTCTCTACTAAAAATACAAAATTAGCCGGGTGTGGTGGCGCGTGCCTGTAATCCCAGCTACTAGGGAGGCTGAGGTAGGAGAATCGCTTGAACCTGGGAGGCGGAGGTTGCAGTGAGCCGAGATCGCGCCACTGCTCTCCAGCCTGGGCAACAAGAGCAAGACTCCGTCTCAAAAAAAAAAAAAAGGAAAGGAAAAGGTTTGGGGGGTTGCAAGGAAGGTATGAAAAGGGAGCTGGGAATCTAAATTCCACTTTTCTTTCCTTCTGAATGGTTCCATCTGCATTTCCATACTGTTCGTTTGATATTTTATGACTATTTGAAATAATTATAAAGAAACGTATGCTCGGATAGATTTTATAGACCATAAAAAGAACAAATAGGCACTGCAAGTTTAGCGGGAAGTTCTTGTGCTGTCATTTATCCGTAGTCTTAAGAGCTCTTCATTACTGAGACCTTGGCCCCATATTTATTTTCTTGCTTTCTGTGTATCTGATTTTAAAAGAAAAAAAATGCAATAGCTACTTAAGTCTTTTTTTCAGCCATCAAGTACTGTCATTGCAGTTAGGAAATAAGAGGAGACGTGACCTGTGATGGAAGAACAACAAGTTTTGAGGGAAGGCACCACATCCTGGCTTAATGATGCTAGCTGTTTTATGATTCTGCCAGAACAAGCCCTTTAATATCCCTTTGCCTTGGATTTCCCATCTGCAAAATGGCTTTAACGCCTTTTGGAGTTGTTTAGTTGGTTAATTTCTGTTTTGGTTTGATTTGAGTTCTAGTGAAAAATAGCTGAAAATTATTTGATCTGCTTTGGAAAGAGAAATTCAGTAAATACTGGAGCTACTTTTGTCAGCTTTGGAATGAGCAAACATAAAGTAGATTCCACACAAAGATGTTTTTGTAACTTTTTTTTTGAAAGTATGATTTGATGATTGCTGTAAATCCATAGCTCCAACATATTAAAATGTTTTAATCTTTGACTCAGGTTAAAGTGAATACCAAGCCTAGACTATATAGTATTTTCCCCTTTTTGACCCAAACACACTTTCTCTGTATTTAGCCCTCTTCCCTCCCATCATCTCTGTAGCAAAATGCTGTTGGAAGCCTTAGCCAAAGCAGAAGAACCCAAGAAGATTTGAAATTTAAAATTTAAAATTTAAAATTTTGCAAATTTAAAAGTGGTGACAGAGTTGTCTTCAGAAGTTGTCTTCTCCCACCTGTTTCTCCCAGCCAAAGCCAGAAACAGAGCTTACAAGCTACTAAATTCAGATTTAAGAGCAGTTTACTAGTGAAAATGTTAAAATAGCTTTCTAAGACAATATTAGGCTAAATTTTAAGTCTTTATCAGATGGAGTTCCCTAAATCTTGATATCATCCTGAAGTTTATTGCATCCACATCTTGAAATAATTATATATTTAATAATAATCTACTGGCCCTGAATTTTTTCCCCCATCCAGAATACAAATCATAAGATATTTACTGTCTGGAAAAGAATACAAAGTTCGTCTTAGAATAGCTTCCTCATTTCTCAGATGAGGACCCTCACATTTAAAGAGATTAAGAGACGTCTCCATAGTTTAAAGACCTATAAAGATTTTATGTAACACAAATAATGTGTTACAGTTCATTTATATAAAATTTGCAGTTGATGACAAAGAACAGTGTCTCTTTTCACTAAGTCTGTTGTTTCCATTTTATGGAACAGAATATTAAATTATTTGGGGACACACAACTGACCTAGTATTGGTAGTTTTTGTGCTTTAGGAGATTTTATAAATTTTTGTTTGAGAAACTAGTGGTAAAAAGCATCATTTGGAAATTGATTTTTTTAAAACTAATAGGGCAGTGATACTTTGGTTTTTCATAATGTTTATATGAATTGTTTTTATTTAGTGTGCTTTTACTTGTGATCTGCTTGGGAGCTAGGATCCTAGGGTAATGGAGATAGACAGTAAGGAAAAAGTAAATATATAGCTTGGTCAAGTGAATCTTGTTTTTTTTTTTCTTAGAGCATTTACATTTTGTAGAAATTAGGAAATTGTGTCAGTTTATTTACAGTTTCTTGGTAAACGTGCCTCAGGAGAAGTAGAATGACAGTACCTGGATTTTTTTTTTTCTTATTCTGTAGCCATACAGGTAAATCAAGTAAAGGTGTTTTAACTAATTATACTATAATTTAGGATTTTACACCTTCCTGAAGTGGGGAGGTTTTAACCATGGTTTTGTGCCTAGTGCTGCTTTTCCAATGCTTTCTGAAGGAAGTTATGCAATTTTGGAAAATCAAAACAATGTTCATGTTTTTGGCGTAACCTTAGAGTAATCTTTTTCAAAACCTATGAACAAATAGCAACATTTATAAAATATTTTATTTACTATTCCCTTGTAATCTCAACCTGTGATCACTGGACTAGACTCATGTTCACTCACAGTGGCTCATGCTTTAAAGTTGTAAGTTAACTAATTGCATGCAGTTTTTCTTCCAGTGGCTTAGTTTGAGAAAGACACAGGAACACAATGAAACCCTGTATCTGAAGGCTTCTTAAAATAGGAGTACAGTGTATAAAATAGAACAAACAATTCCCAAAGAACAATGTGATTTTCTCATGTAGCTCAGGAAGTTATGAAGAGTTTACAAATGTTTGGTCTTATCTTCTTTCCCATAGGTGACTGCCAACAGCCAGCCCAATGTCGAATCCAGAAATGCACCACGGACTTCGTGTCCCTGACTTCTCACCTGAACTCTGCCGTTGACGGCTTTGACTCTGAGTTTTGCAAGGCCTTGCGTGCCTATGCTGGCTGCACCCAGCGAACTTCAAAAGCCTGCCGTGGCAACCTGGTATACCATTCTGCCGTGTTGGGTATCAGTGACCTCATGAGCCAGAGGAATTGTTCCAAGGATGGACCCACATCCTCTACCAACCCCGAAGTGACCCATGATCCTTGCAACTATCACAGCCACGCTGGAGCCAGGGAACACAGGAGAGGGGACCAGAACCCTCCCAGTTACCTTTTTTGTGGCTTGTTTGGAGATCCTCACCTCAGAACTTTCAAGGATAACTTCCAAACATGCAAAGTAGAAGGGGCCTGGCCACTCATAGATAATAATTATCTTTCAGTTCAAGTGACAAACGTACCTGTGGTCCCTGGATCCAGTGCTACTGCTACAAATAAGGCAAGTATACCTTCTTTTTTCCCTCTCCCTACTCAACTTTCAAAAGATGTTTGATTCTTCAGATAACTTTTGAAATGTGCTATAAAGGGCCTAGTTTAAAAGGAACTTCTTTTGAAAAGCAATTAACAGTTGATAAAGGGTTAAATAAAAATTATCTAGTAAGGAATTTCTTATTGGAATGTAAACGTGGTTCTAATTTTAAATAGACAGTGATATAAAGAATAAAAAGTAAACAGTGAAATTGAGTTCTCCAGGGAAAAGGCAGACCTGTTTAGTAAAAAAAGGATGCTTTTTTCAGTGATGTCTTTTTTTGAGTGCATATGTGTGTGACTCTTGAAGAAATCCATGTTCAGATTTATCAGATGATTGAAGTGGGTGTTCTGAATAAAGAAAGCTGTGAGGCCTGAGGCAGTGACGTATCAGGAAACATATTTTATTGGAGATTTGGAAGCTATAGTAAAACATAATGGCAATAAGCCAACTTCCCAGTGGTAAACCCACAGTGGTGGTTTAGTTACTAACCTCTTGATGACCGAGGAGGTTAATAATTGGATATTGCAGAGCAGCAATATGTAACCTGTGTGTAATCTCAGGGCCTCAGGTTAACAGTTTCAGTCAGAAGCTAAGAGAAACACTGACAAAATTTAGCTTACCATGACTAGCTGCCAGTTTATGTGGTCTGTGTTCGTTTGTTTTAAAGAAACTAATACTGTACAGAGATCTTTGACACCAACTTCAAGGCACCAGTGTTTAGTGCAAGCAGGTAGAGAGGACCTATGAACTAGGTTTCTAATTGGCAGTCAGTGCTAATTCAGCCATTAGTAAGTAAAGTCACTTTTCCACTAAAATAGTGTCCCGACTAACCACCTCCTTCCGTGTCTTTTCCAACCACAAAACCACACACATAGACCATCTCATCTTACTTTATTTCTTGCATTTATTGTATCCAAAAAAATTGGTTTAGTTTTTTAATGTAATTGACAAGACTCAAGCTTTTGAAATACTTACGACTGTTCTCTTGATTCCAGGACACCCTCCCCTGTGTCTAAACATGTGTGGTATACTTTTTAAATAAATTAAAGCTTATTTTACTTGGCATTTTGTGGAGGGAATTTTACAACACCTCGGGAGATATCTGCAGACACCCTGGGGTGTCACAAATTTAAGACTAGAAGTCATTGCCCTAATCAAAGACGACTGTTACACTGGTCTAGACATCTTAGGGGAACTCCAAAATGTTTATACTTCAACTCTCAGTAAAAGCTCAAGCTTGTCTTTTGCCTTACCAAATTCCATATCTCAAAATAAACTTTTCTCCCTCTGGTTTTTGTATGTACTCAAATCATTTTTTTATAAATATCTCAGAATATGTATTTGCTATAAATTATATATAAAGTTATAGAATTATGAAGTTATAAGAGAAACGATGGCCCCAAATCCATCATTACTGCAGAGTCATATGGCACATGAAAGCTGGGAATAGTCTTTGGGTAACTGAAAGAAGGCAGTCCATTGAGAATGGAAAAAGTCATCAATTGTGCAAATAATTGAGGACTTGGCAGAGTGACCTTCGAACAAAACTATAGAGATTAATCAGAGCTTGTAAATGGGGAAATACTCATTCTCTTCACAAGAAGCAGTATTCAAATTTTATTCTTCATGCCTTCCATCCGGTCATGTCACTTCTGTTATTCAGTCTTTCAGAATTCTATTGTTACTGATTATGGTGAAAATATGTGGGGGATAACCTTATGAATATTGCTATATATATGGAACAGTTTACACTGAAGTATTTAAGATCATTTTATTTCAGTTGAATTCTGTTGTAATTTTTAGCAAATAAATAAAAAGGACAATCTTGTTTTCTCCCTCAGTTTGGAATAAGGATCAAAGGTTTTACCCATTCAAAAAAAGTTGGAGAAAGTGGTCCTCTGACATAAATTCAAGTAGATGATGAGAATGCTTGGTCTTTAATTGCACTATTGGAAGGTATTTTCCCACATCTGGTGACCATGCTGTTCAGCAGCAAACTATTCTGTAGCCTCACTTCACAACCTCTAGGAGTTGTTGGGTTTGGTTCCCCATCCCCCTTCTCTTTGTAACTCTCTCCAAAGCCCCATAAGCATCTGGAAGGTTGCTCTTGAAGACCTGTCTCAATACTAGTATGACGTGTGCTGGTGAAACCAAAGAAAGGCCTAAATCTTACAATACGTTCCTTTTACCCAGCCAGGACCAAAATAAAACCTTTAAAAACCTTCAGCACAAAAAAGTGGTGGTGATAAAAATAAAAACAATAAGAGGCATAAAAGTGCTTATAAAATAAGTTCTAAACAAGATCTGAAATTTTCCCTTAATGTCTACCACCATACTTTCTTTAAAAAATCTTTTGAAAAATTTTTTCATGGAAATCCCAGCTTTACTGAGAATTTAAGCAAGTGCATAGACCAGTTGTTGGGTAACCTAGTACTGTGCCTTGTAGATACCAGATCATCCTTGTGTGGTCAAGTGTTTTTAATAACCCACGTGCTCAGTGCCACTAGATTGAAAGACTGATGTCATTGGCTAGCTGGCCAGCTGTGATACTGAAATTTTCGGAAACATCCATTCATTTCGCTCCCTTTAACACTGCACTGAAGCACTAGACCCCAGGGTATTTTGCTCAATGAGGCTACTAAGACAGCTTCTCAGTCCTGGGAACCTGGCCTCTTGAGCAAGCCGTCTTCAAGCCCAACTTTGTGAGCTCTGCCTGTTCCTAGGTACCCCCCTTTTCCTTATCACAAAAAGACAAAGTGGGGGAAAAATCTAAACACCATAGAATGAAATGAAGTCACCCGGGGCCATATATTAGCTAAGCCTTTTCTTTTTCTCTACATGGCAAGCAGTGAGTTCAAGGCAGACATGCCTGCGGTGCTTAATGATGTTGCCTCATCTCCCCTGGTCTACTGTTTTCTTCCCCACCATGGCCCTCTCCTCCCCTTCCTTGGGAAAGGTAGGGTTTGTTTTCCTGTTGGTCATGGTGTGCACAGGTATGCTTTCTCAAGGCCTCTGTGTTTTTAGTTTTGCCCTGTGCCTGCCTCCCTCTCTTTGGAGGAACCTGTGCCAGTTGGCTACCTTGCCAGGTAGATGTGTTTCTGAAGGGGAAGCCAGGGCTGGTTTTTCATCTCTCCACCCCGGGGGCTGCAGGGGTGTCTGGCACACACACATACCTCGGCTGACATCCACATCAGCTCTGGGCCATCTTCCCCACCTTTGGCTGTGAGAGGCGGCTACAGGCATGTAGGCACTCAGAATGAGATGAGAGGGACAGGCTCTGAACTGGCAGAGTTAGCTACACTGAGAAGAAAGGCAGGTTTTGTTTTGCAGGAGGAAGTAGCCCACCCTTCACAGGCTCCAGAGAGGGCACATGTCAGTAGTTGTCCTGTGCCTCACACACTCAAGATAAACCAGATGATCTGTTTTGAGGATGCTTGACTTCTTCCATGTTATTTTTGCCAACCTCTCAGTCTCAACTCTTGTTCATTCATTCTGTGGATCTTTATATCTCTGTTTAAGTGGGTTCAATAAGAATCTGTATATGCCATGATCACAGAAGGTGATTGGGGAATAAATTTTTTTATGAAAGATTCTGCACTTTGCAAATGTATTCCCAATAGCATATATTAAAATTGCCAGTCTCCAGGGAATTCAAAAGTATTCCTTTTTCAAAAACAATTCTGAAATTCATTTATTATTAAGTTGCATACCTAAACAAACAATGGAAATGTTTTTAGTAATTATTTTTGTACAAGTAGTTTGAATGCCTTCATTTTATTTTTCCTTTTGTTTTAATGTGGTTGTATCCTTTTTCACCACTCTTGCTTTCTTATTCTATCCTTCCACCTCAGTAACACAAAATAAAAAGTAGGAGTGGAGACTGGGGATGACAACAGGTCCTACTGCAGATCTTCTGCTACACATTTTACTGTGCCTCACCCTTGAGTGAGAGAAGGTAGTTTACCTTAAGGCGTTTGAATTTGGGAAAGGGCTGTGCTCATCGTACTTGACCAAGCAAGATGACTGTTAGGCAGATGGACAGATGCTCTGAGGTGCCTATCTTGTACGTTTTTGGTGCTGCCAACGGCCACCAGCTCCTGGCAATCCTATGGGCAGCACTCATCGCCTGTCCAAAGCATAGTAGCATACCCATCATGCATTATGGATAGTCTAAATTCCATACTTACCCCTGAATTTCAAATTCTGTAGCTACTTTCTTGGGAATTCTTGAAAATTTCCGCTGGTTGAAGATACTAGAGATGTAGAAAGACTTAGTTTGGTTTGCTTTTGGTTAATGTCTTCTTCAAACTCTGTAACCTACAGTTTTCCATTGTAAGAAACACCATTACCTTGTAGGCTCCTAGAGCATGAGGTAGGTCTGCTTTCTGGTGCCCCTTAGCAGGGAGTTATTGTTCTACAACAGCATGTGGGCATGTAAACCAGTGTTCTGGGTCATTCTTTGTTGGTTACAAAATCAGAACCAGACATGCCTGCATTGCAACAGCTTTCAGTTGTCATTTTAAGTATATCTCTGCATAAGGTTTGGAAATCTGTTCTCTGTTGACCCCAGACCTAGTACATTTATTGTAGCTAAGTTTTTGCAACCCATTATGTTTTTAGCATCTTTATGGAAACCATGTGAGCTACATAGTGTTTATCATTATTTTTCTGGACTAAGGGATATGGTTCTTCCATTGATAGGTCTGTGTTTTGAATCTATGGACACTGTTCTTGCATGCAGTGTTATAAAGAGGGGGACGCATGGTATTTGTGGGGGAAAAATAGACCATTTTCCCTCCACAAGGAAACTGCAACTCTCTTGGTGATACATTGTAACTAATTCTTATAATCTGAGATCGCTCTTTATTTTTGTTACAATTACATTGTTGCATGGGTAATTCTTGGCATCTCTTTGAGATTTGCTCCTTATTGTGACCCTCCTTGCTTTATGAAGATGCTAAGAAGTTCTGACTGGTTGAGGCATATTGGGAACAGATGGAAAGGATTTTGCAGTTACACCTCCCTGCTTAATGTAATTATTTCCCTGATAATCATTCTCTGATAAATGTATGGTTAATTTGGTGCTGCATTTGAAACAGAAGGTACTAAAGGGCCCACTGTGGGAGATGTAGAGGTGAATGCAGCCTTTGCCTCAATCTAAGCACATAACTAAAATTTGCAGCAGTTGGTGGGAAAGCACGGGGTTTGTGTGTAAACCCAGCATTTTCAGGGTTCTTTTCACATTGACAAGCTGGTTCCAATTGATGTTATTCATTTAGCAAGTTGGCAGGGGTGTCAAGAAGAGCCAGAAGAGTGGGCTGCTACAAAGGCCTGTCCCACGCTAACACCCCTCCTTGCCAAATCATTGTCTTTACTCCCGGGATTTGGCACAGTCTCTTTCCACCTCCCACAGTAAGAATGCTCACCTGCATCTGTATTTCCTCATCTGCATACAACCTAGCAGGGCCTAGAACCCTGGCTCCCACTTTTGAAAGACTGCTGATCTTTGATGTTATACCAAAAAGCTTTCTAGAATTTGACTGTCATAGTCGCCAGTTCTTAATTAAATTCATTTTCCAGAGCCTCATCTCATCTTTAAAATTCTCATAAAAGCATATGTTAGCTATTTTTACCTCCCTGAATTTTTTTATTATAGAAACAATATTGAAACATTAAAAGCCAGGTTTTCAAAAGAGCAGAAATCAGCTGTAGTTCCAGGTGGCAGTCTAATTATTTGTCCTTTTCTATTTATCATGCAGCTGTTGTGCATACTGGATTATAAGATCTTAGGCCCAGGAAGTACTCAACTTTGCTTTATATCATTTCAGTAAATTGCCTGGAGGTGAAAAGGTTTCCAAGTGGATGTGGGGAAAGGAAGCAGAGAAAAATGGGGAAATTGCTAGCTGTGTAATGAACCTATGTCTGAAAAATCATTTTGTAAGATAAATGAGCTACCTGTTTATTCTTTATGCTATACTTTTCAAAGAAGATTTGCCTTTGTTTCATTCATACACATTAAAAATTCTGGGTAATGAGTCTTTTACCATCTTTCTAATCTCCCTGACTGTGCCACTCCTTCTGTCCCAGATGTGGTTTGGAAGGAGGAAGAGACCTTCAGAATGCCCCCCATTTGTAAGTGAAATTAACCCAGCGCCTGTCCCTGTGTGAGCCAGGCAAGATTCCGTGAGGGTGCTATGGGGCTCTGCTGCTTTAAAACAAATCCACACTCTTCCATAGTTTAAACCAGAGGCATGAGGCCAAGTCTGATACACAGCTGAGAGTTAGAACTTGTTTTTCTGTCACATTTCCAAATGTCTGCCTGGTTAAATTTTCTTTGAGTCAACATTTTGAGGGGAAGGGGTGAGAAGGAAGCATTGGATGTTTGGTCCTTTTTTTGTTGGCTTCTATTAATGCTAACCAGTTTCTGCTCGTGTGGAATGTGGCATATAAAAAGTTACCTACATTGTTGAACAATGAAAACTGCTACCTTATCCATTTTGTTTTTATTTGTTTTGACTGCAGTAGAACTTGCTCTTCCACTGTTTCGAATTTTGTGTTCTTGTGGGTGGGGTAACTTAAGGACTTTTCATACTGACAAGGAAGCTGGCCAACTTGTCAGTAAGTAATAAAAGAAAAGCTAACATACATCTAAGTTACAGACTTTAACTGGACAGCCTTGCAGTGAAATCACAGTGCTATTGGGTCTAGAAAGAAGTTTAGGTGAAACTGGTTCTATGGAGAGAGGAGTTTTTTATGCCCCAGTTAACTGTTTACTTTAAGAGTTGGAGCCAAAAGAACATGGGGGTTCTTTCATGTTGGGACACAGCATGTATACTGTGAATAGGATGATATGACACCATCTAAAACTCACTTCTCATCTGCTCTGCATGTGCTCCTGAAATGGGGGTCAGTTTCCATTTAAGACATGTGTGTGCATGCACAGATGTACATGCATGTGCTTTTACATGGTATCGAGGTCTTCCCCTCACCCTACCAAGGAAAATGCAGACATAAAGATATTGTTTTGTAGGATTTCGGTTAACTCACTTCTTGAAATGCATGGTAACCATTCTAACCACTTCATTCCTGAGTTCTCATGGGTCTTTTCTTTTTCAGAGTGTGAGTGTATTGTGAAGATCTTCAAGCCCTTTTACTTTTTTTGCTCACCTCCCAAAGCTGAAAAATGATCAAAGAGCCTGTGGTTTTCTAATCCCATCGGTTTGGAGAACAGCTGTGCTGAACCTAGGCCCAGAGCAGGGCCTCGGGTCTGTAGTCCTGCCACCTCTCTCTACCAGGAGAGGGAATGCCTGAAGGGAAGACCTGCTAGGACAGATTCGGCTGAGAGTTACTGCCACCAGCCCTGGCTCTCACCTTTCAGAATATTTTTAGCCTCTAGTCTGAAGCAAGGTGGCAGCCTAGGCCTATAATACTGTCCACACAGGCCTGCCTTCATATCTGGGCATATAGTGAGTTCCTACACTTGCTGGCCTCCTCACAATGTGGAGTCCGAACACAACAGACAAGCTAAGGGAGAGGTTCCATTTGGAGATTTTGGAGTGACCAAGACTTACAGGACAAAGGCCTTTCCTCATGCTCACCCTAATACAAGGAAGTTGGCGAATTTGCCTGTCTCTGTGGCTATTTATGCTTCCAGCATTCACTGTCTTAATTGTACAGAAATTACTCTTGGGAAGCAGCATTTTTGTGCCTGTTCCTTTTATGTGTCTTCCTGGGCCAGCTTCCCTTTCATTCTCGTTTTAGCCACTGAGCTTGATGCTGCTTCTCTAGACCACCCTAGCTGCCTTCAGCTCTGCGTGTCCTTCCCCTCTGGTTTGGTTTCTTCATTCTCTATCTGCTGCCAAGTACCCCTTCAGCAGCCAAGGCAGCCCCTGTTTTTGCATGTATTTATTACCTACGGCAACACTGAAGAATAAGTTTGGTCCATTCCATTTCTCTGGATCCTGTAAGTGCTCCAAGCTCTGTGGAAAAAGACATGAGGATAGAGAAACTGATACCTCTTTTTAAGGTAGCTGATTTTTTAGTCTCATTCAAGCCCTAAAAGGAGTCCACAGTATGAGTTTTAATCTGCCACTCACCTCGTAAACACAGGTACTGTCTTACTGTTAGTATCTTGTCCTAGTCCAATAAAATTGTTTAACAAAATGTATTTTTGTGGATCTTAAGTTGAGCTTCCTGTAGATATTTGTTTTATAAGATATTTGATATGTAGGCTGAGTGGTGATTGTAAAATTACATCCCAGTTCATTGAGTTCATAGCTTCCTAACAGTTTTTTTCATAATTTTTAAAGGAAAATTATCAATGACATCAAGTATTTTCTAGTCCATTATTTTTTCTTAAATATGGCATATATAAAAACTCTCCTGGGTTTTGCATGAAATTGTTCAGAAAGAGTTATTCTAAATCAATATACCTCTTTTCCCCCCTCGAGAGAGAGACAGAGTTCTCCCCAGTTTTTATGTAACCAGGGGACAGTTGCCACCCCGCGTGGACAGAGTACCTCTGCTCTGGCCAAAATCCACACTTCAGAATTACCCTGGCGGGTAGGGAGGAGTGGGACCAGGGAAGACACTTGAAGGAAGGTGCTTTCAAAGGCCTCTACTTCCTTTAGGTGCTTCAGAGCATCCTAGTCTCTGACTTCGTAACATTTAGAAAAATTGACCCTTGGAAGTAAAATTTGGGTTTTTTAGGAATGGAGAGAGAGCATGTATATGTTTTTCTCCTTTGAAACATGTGCTCTTGTTGGAATGGTTTCTTTTTTGTTCACTGGGGAAGACTGTAGAGGCTGCATGCTGTTAACCATGTGTTAAGAGTAAAAGGGGCTGTGAGCACCGTGGGCTTATTCTCCCTTAGAGTCTTCTATTTTTCAACCTATCATTGCACCCAGATGATATGGCAAAGTAGACACATCAGCTAATTATATGAAATAAAATTCATCGACTTCTTTGACACTGCAGAATTTTAACCAGGTGCATATCAAAATTATGTTTTCATGTGTTTCAAGCTAGTTTCTGTGCCTCTTCAGTTTAGTTTACTGACCAGTCTAGAGTCCAGAGATGAGAGCTCCTAAAGTCTGGCTCTCATGTTTTGAGGATTCCAGAAAAGTCCTACACTCACAGTGCCAAATGGCCTGATTAAACACAGATAAATGTTTCTTCCAAAATATATTACGCACAAGTAGTCAAGGTGCACAGCCATTTGAGAAGTCTGCTGTTTTAAAACCTGTTTGTGGCATTTTGCAAGGCTGCTGTGCTTTGGATAGATATCTCTGTACCTCTTGGCGAGGCAGTACCTGTGTATTTCCCTCTTTGTTGGCTACCTAATTTTCATTTAATATGTTTTTTTTTTTTCTCCCGGTGGAAAGGAGAGGCAGGTGCCTCTTAAAATTATTTCACAGCAAACCTTCGTAAGTTCTTATTGCCTATTTCATGTAGAAAGGTTGATTTGTAGCTGCTGTCTTTCTCTTCCTAATAAACCTTGTGGGTGGTGAAGATCTAGGAGAGTGAAACATTAAAAATGAATGAAGAGAACTGAAGTAGTTTGTCTAAGGTGGGGGTTGAGAGGGGCTGGGTGGAGGAGGTTTAACAAAAGGCATTGATGTTTTAAATGCACAGAAATGCCATCTATCAATAATAAATGGTGTGGCATAGAACAGATGTGCCAAATTGAGTTATGACAGCATATATATTAGTTCATAGAGGGGAAAAGTAAGTAGCATAGCTAACGTTTTTAAATTATCTGTGAGCTTTTGAAATACAATTTTATGTATTCAGTTTTTACTTTCTAGTGGCTGCTAGCTGGAAATATTAAAAGTTTGGTGTTTTTTAAAATTCCAATTAAATTGTGCTTGTTTCTAAAGTAAGAATTAAGAATGAATAAATTTTGCTTTTCTGAAGAGGAAGACAGTCTGAAATGAATTTCTTGCCCTTCATTGGCTGAGTACTTGCCTTTTAAAAGCTCATGTTGTAATTGTTATGAGGAATGAAAGTGCATTATAAAACTTAAGTCATGTGAAACTATTACCCAGTGTTTTCTAAATTTACATTGATTATATCTCTAGGTACCTGCTCAGTGCATATTTAAACTACAAGGGACTACTCAGGAAACCCACTCATGCTTTACAATCAATTCACCCCCCTCAGCATTTTGATTCAAGGGATAATTCTACACATATGCTCTGTGTGAGAATTACCTTGCTTGGTTGGGAAACAACAAGAGAAATATCCACTTGTCTCACAGCAAATCACTACTAGTAAATTGGAAAGACAAATCTTTTAGGTTAACTAGGATATTTTGTAGGTGTAGATACTAGAGCAGAAAACAAGTTTTGAGCTTCTAGATAGGTAGGAGTTATTGTTAATGTCACTGGCATAGCAGAGGACAATACTGTGGGAGGTGTTTGAAATGAATCCTGAGTTCCTGAGTTGGAATTGGTGTGCTTAATGAAAAAAACAGCCGTGGTGAGACATATGGAACCATTCCACTCATCTCAATATGGACCCTTGCTTGCTTTTTGGAAACTTGTTTGGAATCGGTTATCTTTGCTTTGTTGGCCCAACACAAGTAAATCCTCTTTGTTTTTCCTAAGGTGAACAAAAAAGTAGTTCTTGCAGATAATATCAAGTTGGTTTAAATTTTAGGTTTGTTAGACTAGAAAGACGAATTATTTAGCCGTCATTGAAGAGTTTAATCTTTGAGTAGATGTTACAGGTGAAAATGAGCATAGTGATTATATAAAAAGTCTATTACTAACTCTTATTTTAGCCATCTGTATTGTTGACTTTCAACTTTTTCAGGTGCAAAATTTTCTTGAATCAATCTTTTCATCTCCAAGGGATCCCAGCATGCCTTAAAAAAAAACACTTGTCAACGGATTTTAGAGCCACCAAATAAATCTATTTTATGGTCCCGTTAGATATCTAGCTCAAAACCCCCATTCACTCTGAAAGGTCCTATGGTTGGATGCACAACAAATTTCCTGAAATCATCTCTGATGCACCTCCTTTGGGTTGTTAAGAAGGTGTTGAAATGTGAGAAGGCTGGTAGTGAAATCAAGTTGTGGCTCAGGGTAATTAGGAAGGGAGAAAACCCAGCATTTTCATAGTACATTGTCTGGCTTTTAGTTGCAGCTGCACACAGCGGATATGAATTTAACCGGTTGCTACAGTGCAGCTGGTTCAGATCTGGCTTTATAACTGGCTGAAGTAAAATGAAATGGCTGGAAAATTCCAGTCAAGTAACACCAGTGGGAACAAGTGGAATTAAATAGTGTGAGCAAATGCTGGCCGAGTTGGAGAAAAACTTAAGACATAAACTTGAGGGTGGTGGTGAGGACTTCGGGTGGGCAGGCGGGGGGAGGGGGGTGCATTTTCTGGTCTTTTTCACAAGGGTCTATTGTTTCGATTAGTTTCCTTGCAGGAGGTAGAAGGTTTCCTCCATCCCGAGTAATTCATAGAGTGTTTGGCTTGTCTACCTTCCTCCTGACTGAAGTCACCTGATACTTTTTGTTTTTTCAAGAAGGAAGAGAGAACCCTGTTGCCTCAGTTACTAGCAATGATACAATTCTCAAAATCTGGTCTTTTTTTGTTTCTTTGAAATAGTTTCTCCATGTTGTGTGACACAGCAGCCCCTGTCTTATCATAGTTGTCTTCCCTCCACCACCTGTACCAGAGATGTTGGATATGTTGGAGGTGAAGGTGTGCAAGGTTTTTAACTAACTGTTCTAATTAAAGGATTCTGCAGGAAAGAACATGGGTTTACAAAAGAGAAGCTTTTGTATTATTAGTAATTTTTTTTCTTTGATGAATTTATGTGCTTAGTTTGGAGAATCGAGAGTTGGCTGGGAAAAGATTTCTGAGGAGTTAAGGGACTCTGGTGCTGTTTGGGAAAACATTTGCTGTAACTAGGTTTAGGGTATTCAGTCTCTGCCAGTGCTTAGGAGCTATATTTGCCAGGTGATTTCCCTGTCGCAGGGATTAGCCAGTGATGTGAAACATTTGATTAAGGGACTAATAGAAATCTTTCCTGGGGTACATGAGTGGTGGCTGTTACTGGGGTGCCCCCTCCTCAACTCTTTCTCTCTGTATTTCGAGTAAGTTTGTAGTGGTGAGTCATGGGATACAGTTTTTTAATCCTATGAAGAATCTTGGTAGGAAGCAAAGTTCTGTTAGGTATATTGTTAATTAAGCCCTTTAAAGTTTCTGCATAATAACTCAGAAACGAGCCTTTTTCTTTTCTCAGAACTATGCCATGACTCATCCACTTTGGAAGCAGACAAGATATAAATTATCAATAAAAATTGCCCATAATCTGGCCTGGCACAGTGGCTCATGCCTGTAATCCCAGCACTTTGGGAGATGATGGTGGGAGGATCGCTTGAGGCCAGGAGTTCAAGACCAGCCTGGGCAACGTAGTGAGGAACCCCCGACCTCCACCATCCCCCCCGCCCCCCACCAACCCCCTCACTTCAAAGTTTTTTAAATCAGCCACGCATGGTGGTATATGCCCTTAGTCCTGTGTACTCAGGAGGCTGAAGTGGGAAAGTCCTTTGAGCCCAGGAGTTGAACGTTGCAGTGAGCTATGAATGTGCCACCGCACTCTAGCCTGGGCAAGAGAGCTGACCCTGTCACTTAAAAAAAAAAAAAAAAAAAAACCGATATTCTGATAGCAACACTGCTCACTTGCTCACTCTTTCTCTTAGGAAAGTAAAAAAGTTTTGTCTTGATGCACAGATTTATTTAAACTTTAGTTCTAAATATATAGGACTTTAAAAAATATTTTCTGAAAGTGATATCCATTTTTGAGGTGCAAGCAGTTGGGTCCATTTTGGAGATTCCGCCTTAAGCCATTCAGCTTCAAAATGGCGGGGAGCTCTTGCTACAGAGGGTTACCCCGTTCTGCTTCCTTCCCATTCTGTTAAACCTTGTACATGCTCCTTCCCACAGATCACTATTATCTTCAAAGCCCACCATGAGTGTACAGATCAGAAAGTCTACCAAGCTGTGACAGATGACCTGCCGGCCGCCTTTGTGGATGGCACCACCAGTGGTGGGGACAGCGATGCCAAGAGCCTGCGTATCGTGGAAAGGGAGAGTGGCCACTATGTGGAGATGCACGCCCGCTATATAGGGACCACAGTGTTTGTGCGGCAGGTGGGTCGCTACCTGACCCTTGCCATCCGTATGCCTGAAGACCTGGCCATGTCCTACGAGGAGAGCCAGGACCTGCAGCTGTGCGTGAACGGCTGCCCCCTGAGTGAACGCATCGATGACGGGCAGGGCCAGGTGTCTGCCATCCTGGGACACAGCCTGCCTCGCACCTCCTTGGTGCAGGCCTGGCCTGGCTACACACTGGAGACTGCCAACACTCAATGCCATGAGAAGATGCCAGTGAAGGACATCTATTTCCAGTCCTGTGTCTTCGACCTGCTCACCACTGGTGATGCCAACTTTACTGCCGCAGCCCACAGTGCCTTGGAGGATGTGGAGGCCCTGCACCCAAGGAAGGAACGCTGGCACATTTTCCCCAGCAGTGGCAATGGGACTCCCCGTGGAGGCAGTGATTTGTCTGTCAGTCTAGGACTCACCTGCTTGATCCTTATCGTGTTTTTGTAGGGGTTGTCTTTTGTTTTGGTTTTTTATTTTTTGTCTATAACAAAATTTTAAAATATATATTGTCATAATATATTGAGTAAAAGAGTATATATGTATATACCATGTATATGACAGGATGTTTGTCCTGGGACACCCACCAGATTGTACATACTGTGTTTGGCTGTTTTCACATATGTTGGATGTAGTGTTCTTTGATTGTATCAATTTTGTTTTGCAGTTCTGTGAAATGTTTTATAATGTCCCTGCCCAGGGACCTGTTAGAAAGCACTTTATTTTTTATATATTAAATATTTATGTGTGTGCTTGGTTGATATGTATAGTACATATACACAGACATCCATATGCAGCGTTTCCTTTGAAGGTGACCAGTTGTTTGTAGCTATTCTTGGCTGTACCTTCCTGCCCTTTCCCATTGCTACTGATTTGCCACGGTGTGCAGCTTTTACTCGCCACCTTCCGGTGGAGCTGCCTCGTTCCTTTGAACTATGCCCTCACCCTTCTGCCCTCACTTGATTTGAAAGGGTCGTTAACTCTCCCTTACAGGTGCTTTGACTCTTAAACGCTGATCTTAAGAAGCTCTCTTCATCTAAGAGCTGTTACTTTTTCAGAAGGGGGGGTATTATTGGTATTCTGATTACTCTCAATTCTAATTGTTATATATTTGAGCCCATACAGTGTATTAGGTTGAACCATAGAAACTGCTATTCTCGTAGGTCAAAAGGGTCTAGTGATGGAAGTTTTGTAGATAAGTACCAGGCATCTCAGTAACTCCTAGACTTTTTCTCATCCCATGCCCCGTTTTAAATTGTCAGTTTTCCCTCTGACTCTTCTGTGTTAAAACATGAAACTATAAATTTAGTAATTATCATGCCTTGCTCTTTTTAATCTATATGACTGATGCAAGCCCCTCTTCTTAACCGTTTCTTGGCTTTGAGCCCAGAAACACAGCTCTCCCTGTCTCCAACTCCAGTAAGCCCTCCTCAGCCTCACCTTACGAATCCAAAGAACTGGGGTTTGTTAGGTTCTTTCTCTAATGTAGAGGCCCAGATCCCATCACAAAGTTTTTCATTCTTCCTTGTCCACCATGATCTTCATCACAGTCTTTGATATGTCTGCATGCAAAGTGGAACAGAGTTGGGCGGCAATGACAGAAGAGCTTCCTTGGCCTGACTCGGTGTGCGGCCACTTCGGCACTGCTTAATCCAGATATTCTTGTTAACTAAGCATTGTGCTTCCCAGGTGGTCTGAAGTCAGGTACTCTCTCTCTCAACACCTGTAGTTGAATATGATTTGGTCAGTTGCTCGTTGTAACTTGGAGAAATTCCTATAAAGTAAGATCTCCTTGCCTCTTCCATCCATTGTTGGCACCCCCTTGCAAAAGGAAAAGAACAGCAAAAGTCAGGAGCAGTAATCTGAGAAAGTTAACTCCAGGATAGGTAGGTTTCTATTGTTATAGCTAGATGTAAATCTTTAGTTCCAAGAAGTGATAGAGTTTCTGCTTTAATAATTTGTTGATAAGTTTACATAAACAGAAATAAAAGATACTATCTTTACCGTAGTAGTTCAGGCCAAGATTATGCTTAGTTTTAGTTCTCCAGGTAGTTACTTTTGCCATGTCCTATTGATCAGTGACACTGCCAGAGGCCCATACCGGCAAGAGGAAGAGGACGTCATTTTGTAAAGTTTAACTTCTTAGCGAACTGATGTGCCACCCAGTCACAGAGTGGAGTTGTGAATTCATGTAGAGGTGGCAAACCTCTACCTTGTGTTGATGAGAGAATAATCTTGGGCAGTCTGGGAAAATAAGGAAGGCATCTCCTTCTTACTCATGGAGATTCAACTATAGAGAGTTGAAACCTAAACCCGCCTTCCTTTTATAGAAGCTGGACTAGAGACGGACTGACCATCAGCTCTGAACTGTGGCTTTTTTTGTTCACCTATGATGCCATGTACCAAATTCAGAAGCTATCGTTAATAATTTGTTTTATAATTGAGTAGTACAAGCGAGGAAAAAATACGGAGGATAACCACTATTTTTGTGCAAATAATATGAAAGTGAAGTAAAAGCAATAGAAGAAATTTCTATAGGATCTGGGTTTAGAGTGTGTATCATTAATAAATATACCTTTGCTCTTTTCAGGGAAAATAACAACCACCCTTACTGATAGTTGGGAAAAGAAGATTGGGTTATTTTGCCATATCATTTAGCTGGAAGTGACATTTAAAAGCACCCTGCATCACTAGTAATAGTGTATTTTGCTATTCTGCCCTTGTAATCGGTGTCCCTGTAAAACAATCCCCACAGATTACTTTCAGAAATAGATGTATTTCTCTACGTAAGGGCCAGGTTTATTTTCTCCTTTTTTGAGATTTCTAGAAAAAATGCTGCTTGCACATGTTGGTTCTTGAAACCTTAGCTAGAAGAATTTCAGGTCATACCAACATGTGGATAGGCTATAGCTGTTCAGAGGTCTCCTGGGGGAGCTTAAAACGGGGGAAACACTGGTTTTCACAGATGCTCCACATGGCTGTCTTTAAAAGACTCAAAACTTTTTTTTGTCCTCTTTGTTATGCTTGGAAGCTCCCCCCCCCCCAACAGTGTGTCGAGTCTTTGCAAAGAAACCTTTAGATGTGGTTCATAGATATATGAATACGTATCTGTGTAAAACAGTGAGTGTGCAGTGTGTAAATACTTTAAATTATTATGCTAGAAAAATAAAGTTACATACCTTGCTGTGGAATGTCTGTTCTGTGATTATAGGGACACCTGCTGGAAGAACTGAGAGCTGCAGAAGAAAGGGAGTCGGGGGAGGGGGAATTGTATAAAATCCCTAAAGGTTACTGATAAGTCATGCCACCTGCCCACAAATTCGCTGATTTTCAAAACTATAGCATTACTGTCATTTTTTTTCTTTTGAAATTTTAAGCAGTTACAAATCCGTATCAGTGAGATTGGTCCACTAGTATTGTCCCAAAGTTCTGTCTTTAGTAACAGTTTTGGTCCCTTGAAGACATACAGCCTGCACTCTAGTTCTTTTTAAGGTGATGTGAACAGTAACGACTTCCTCCTGGTGGGGAGGATTTGGGAAGGCAGGATTTTCTGGCTTTGAAAACAAATCCTCACTTCTTGGGTTTTAAAAAGAGACATCAAGAGATCACAAGTTGGTCTTTGTTCAAGAAACACACCAAAGGGTAGAAAAGTTAGGAAAATAACTGAAACAAAAGGCACAGAGAAGCACTGTTACTTGTATTAGGTAGAATACTAAATGGATCAGATTCTGACTGGGATAAACATACATGTAATCATTTCTTCTTTTTTTTTTTTTTTCTTTTGGAGACAGGGTCTCACTCTGTCACCCAGGCCAGAGTGCAGTGGTGCAGTCTCAGCTCACTACAGCCTCAACTTCCAGGGTTCAAGTGATCCCCCCGAGTCGCTGGGGCTACAAGTGCATGCTACCATCCCCAGCTAATTTTTGTATTTTTTGTAGAGACTGAAGGCAGGGTTTCACCATGTTGCCCAGGCTGGTCTCAGACTCCTGGACTCAAGCAATCCGCCTGCTTCAGCCTCCCAAAGTGCTGGGATTACAGGCATGAGCCACCACACCTGGCCATAATCGTTTCTTAAAGAAAAAAGCTTAACCATTGCAGTTGACTATTTACATGTAGCAGTTCAGAGCAAAAAAAAAAAAAAAAAGACAATCATATCAGCTGAACCACATAAAATAGGATGAAATGACATAGTCACTGAGTACCCAGTGATGTGTCTGTGCTGAAAGAATGCAGATAATCTATAGCAGAACGAAATGTGCTATAGACTATTTGACTTTTATGCTTAAAGTCAAAAATAATTCTTTACCATTCTGTCTTCATTCCCAGAACTCCAGCTCTTTGGGGACTGAAACGTCAACTCCAAAATCCCAACAGCGACATCAACCCTAAGAGTCCTGTTATCTGATTTATTTTTTATCTTGTTTATTTTTAATTTTGTAGCATTGGCAGTATTCTATTGTCTGGAACTAGCTGGGATAACAGTCTTGGATTGCTGCTGTCCTTTCTGAGCAAAGATACCTTGCTGCAGATTTTCTCCCTGTTCTATTTGTATGTGAACCAATGTCTCCCCCACAGAGAAAGTAATCAGGATGTTCAAGGAGCAGTTTCAAAGTTCTTTATTATTTCACTACCTAACCATATTGTTACCTAAACCTAAACCATATTGTTTCTTTCTGCTTCTATCCCTTTTCTGTATGTCTTCCAAATGGACAAGTCACATGAAAGCAATTGTTATTATTTAGATGGTATTTTCCTTTAAATTTACTGCTCTTTGGCTGGGCACAGTGGCTCATGCCTGTAAACCCAGCAATTTGGAAGGTCGAGGCGGGCAGATCACTTGAGGTCAGGAGTTCGAGACCAGCCTGGCCAACATGGTGAAACTACCATCTCTACTAAAAATACAAAAATTAGCTAGGTGTGGCGGCGAATACGTGTAATCCCAGCTACACGGGAGGCTGAGGCAGAAGAATCGCTTGAACCCAGGAGGCAGAGGTTGCAATGAGCTGAGATCATGCCACTGCACTCTAGTCTGGGGTGACAGAGCGAGACTTAAAAAAAAAAAAAATTCTGCTCTTCTTCCCCCAGGTACCTCTAATAAGCATGCCATTTGATACTATCAACTAAATAATAGAATATGCTGTCCTTTGTACCCAAAAGGTTATGTCATGGCTCCCTGACGGTGAAATATGTGTGAAATCCAACCAACACCCAGCAGGATACACTAACAAACATTCTACAAAGCCAGAATGGATGCCCTCACCCTCCTTGGAATGATGTTAAACCAATTGAGTAAACTGGTCCTGCCAACTGCAATGTAATAAAGTAGGCCTATCAAACTTCAGCAGGAAGAAAGCAACAGGGCAATGTTTTCTGAGTTCTTCATGAGTAATATTTCTATGACCCATTTTTTATTTCAGTAATGAAAACTCCAACTCCAGAAGGAAAAAAAAAGCATTCTGCTACCAGATTGAATATACAAGACCTAGCCACAGATGAATTAACCAAGTAGGAATTGCACCTGCCATAGATGACATTTTCAGAAGATAACATTATCTCAATCAATAGTGTAACACCGCCAAGGGAAATGGTGCTATTTGATAACCCACAGGGTTTCCAAAGCCTTCTAACAGGAAGCAGTAAGGTGGGATTCACTGAAGGGGGAGATGGAGGGGGACAATAAATTTATTTTCTAGTGAGCCCTTCTTTTGCGCTGCTAAATAGCAATGCCATTAATGCAGTGTTGGTCATCAGCACAGTGAGGACTGTGGGTAGAGCTATTGATTGGCTCACCCTAAGTGGAAGGGAAAGATTCTCGGCCTGAGTCAGCTCATGAATGTTCATCTTCCTTCTTGGGAAGGAAAAGGAAAAAGGAGTGAAATAATTTGAGGCAGCATGCCATACAAGATCCTCAGCATCCTGTCAAATTGGAAATCTGGATGACATTTGAAGGTTGGGGAAGTGTACCTGGGGAGCTGGGAGGAAGGGTAGCAACAGGACAGGAAGAGCTCACAAAGCAAAATGATAAATATGGAATGCATTCTGGTTACATTTTGAGCTGCAGGCCATTTTGAAGGGTTCATCTGTGCATGGTCATTTATTTTATATATTCTGCCTTGAGGCAGCATACCATAGTGGTCAAGATTTTGGGCTGTGGAGTAGACAGTTCTGAGTTTAAATCCACCTACTTTACTAGTTATGTGGCCTCAGACGTGCCAAGCTGTACTTAGGCTTCAGTTTCCTCATCTTTACAGTAAGAATTCTAAAAGAAATTCACACCTCCAACATTCATTGTGAGGTTCAATTTGCTGCATTTTAAAGTTTTTAGCATGGGACCTGATACAAACCTAGTGTTCAACCTGCATTACTCAGAAATGGACCTAAGATTGATAGTGAGTTGTATGTTCACCTTTGGGAACTGGCAAACCTATAAGCTATTCCTAGAATGAAATTTGCATGTATGCCCCTGTGAACATCCAAGAATTTAGGACGGGGCCACAGTTTTGCAGAGTTTATTCACATCTATGAGGGAGATGTGCTGTGCACATGGTTCCTAGCAGAATGCATGAGACCAAATGCAAAACCTGTGCATATCAGGTGCTTCCTACTGGCCCCCTCACTGCAGCCACCCCAGAAATCCAGCATACGTTCTTTAAAGCACCTACTAAAAAAATAACACTGACTTGTGAGTAACCATTTGCCCTGGACATAACTTCAGGAATTAGGGATAAACTGGGGACAGAAAGAACTCTGAGGAAAAGCTACTACTGGAGAAATTATTGCTAGCCACTGCTAGTCATGTATTGTACACCTTGGCAAATCATAGTCCCAGCATAGAGAGCATCGAACTTTGGGAAAGGACACTCTGAAATGTTTCGATAGACAGGGTTGTATAAAAAAGGTGTGGAAACTGGGCTTCCAGTGCTCACATCATCACCGTAATTCTTATCCACAGATCCCTTCCCGCTCAGCCTAGGCCAACGATAGCATTCTTATCTTCTCAGAATTGCTTGAAATAGACAATGAAGAAAAGAAAGAGAAGAGGCCATCTGCCATGAAGGCTGACAGATTTAAATTGGCCCAATTGAGCAATGCCCTTCTCCTCTCTGATCTTAAAATGGTTTCAAATGGGAGAGGTGAGAGGCGTTGTGAGAAATTTTACACAGATGCTCAATAAAAAGGCAACATGGGAAAAAACTAATGAAAAGATGTCAAAAAACTATAAAAATAACAGAAATGGGAAAGGGAACATGGAGCAAGTGACAGAGAAGGGTGGAAGAGAGATGATTAACAAAGTTGTATACAGCTAATAGAAACACTGATTAGGGAGACAAAAATACAGGCAATGCTTGAGGTGTTTATGGAGAAGAGCAGTGACAGGGAGCAACCATGTATCCTTTCATATCATGGTTTTTAAAATTTATTTTTATTTATTTATTTTATTATTATTATTTTTGAGACAGAGTCTCACTCTGTCGCCAGGCTGGAGTGCAGTGGCACCATCTCGGCTCACTGCACTCTCCACCTCCCGGGTTCAAGCGATTCTCCTGCATCAGCCTCCTGAGTAGCTGGGATTACAGGCACACGCCACCACACCCAGCTAATTTTTGTATTTTTAGTAGAGACTGGGTTTCATCATGTTGGCCAGGATGGTCTCAATCTCCTGACCTTGTAATCCGCCCCCCTCGGCCTCCCAAAGTGCTGGGATTACAGGCGTGAGCCACCACGCCCGGCTTAAAATTTATATAGATCCCTCAGGCATTAGAGAGCATAACTGGCCAAGACTGGTTTTGTCAATAAAATCTAATTTGAACTATCTCCAGCATGAAGGGAGAAGGGAGGGATTTATTTTATGGTTACAGAGGTACCTTGTGGAACCCAAGGGCAGGAATGGAGCCTGGGAAGCTGTTAGGATCTCATCTTTGCTTCTGACTCTAAAGTCACTTTCTCCTCTCGAACTTGGCAAGCTGACTTCTCTACCTCGCAGGTACCCATGGTGGAACATGGCCACCTCACAGAGTTATAGTTTCGTCCACCTACAGAGAGTTCACATCCTCAGGGGAGAATCCCTTTGGCTTAGCTTAGGCCAGGTAAGATAGCATAATACAAAAAGAGCAGTGGGCATCTCCCTCATTTCACCACAGGCCTTCTTGAATTTTTGGCACTTTGGGGCTCTAAGGCATTGGTGGTGTGGCGCAGCAGGAGAAAGCAAAGCACCAGCGCCCAGCAGTGCTGGGCAACAGCATCCAGGACAGTCTAAGCTCCTCAGGAAAAGCAGCAGTCCAGCTGGGCACAGCAGGAGGAACACAGGCACACTCGGAGGAAGTGGTACAGGGCAGAGGCACCACCCAGTTAGCAAGATTTATCCAAAAGCCCATGTAATTCATCCCTGTAGCACTCACACCTAGGTATCTGAGTGGAATCTATAGGAGGCAGATGGGGCAAGAATCTTGGAAAGTTGTGCTATTAATGCTAATATCACTGTATTTGTTGAGTTTTGAGGGTGTTATGTATATATAAAGCTCCTACCAAATTACCTAGCACATCAATGGTGCTTAATAAAGGTAGGTATTCTTGTTATCAGTACTGAGATTTAGATAGTTTGCTTTTCCAATCCCAGTCTCTCACCTGAATTCCAGCCTTGTATTTCCAGCTACCTACATATCACTTCCACATTAATATCTCATAAAGATCTCAAATGTAACAAATATAAAACCAAACACTTGATTCCTGTCACCCACACACAAACACTCTCTGCTCAACCCACAGCCTCCTCCTGTGTCTAGCGATGGCACCACCCTTCACCAGGGCTCAGGCTTAAATAGTGGCTCAAAGAATTGGCCATGTCTCTTTTCGTCTCACACCGTACATTAAGTTCACCAGAAAACTATGTTACACATATTCCAAATCTGACCATTCGAAAGGTCTCCCTGCTGACTCTTTCTCCTGCCCATGCCTCCATGGACTCTAACCTGGACTATAGCAAGACACTATTCACGAGCCTTCCTGCCTCCACACTTGCTCCTCTGTGGGCTCCAGCTCGCCATGTGGCAACCAGATAGAACCTACAAAACATAATAGAATCACTCCCTGCTCAAAACTCCCCCCTGGTTTTCATCACATTTAGAATAAAATTCAAAACCTATAGACAAACACAAATTGATGGACTTTCTACAAAAGTATTGACTTGTACTCTTCAAAAAGAGCAGTGTCATAAAAGACAAAGCAAAGCTGAGGATCTGTTCCAGACTAAAGGAGACTAAAGAGACATGGCAGTTAGATGCAGTCAGTGTAGGATTCTGGACCCTGATGAGGGGGAAAAATGGTTCTTAAAGGACATTATTGAGACAACGGATAAAATTTGAATATGAACTCTTAGATTATAGTGTTATACAATGTTAAATTTTTATGAATTATTAAAGAGCATATCCTTGTTCTTAGAGGCATACACTGAGATATTTTGAAGTAAAAGGTCTGCAAATTATTCTCAAATAATTCAGCAGATAATGGTAATGTGTATGTGTATACATAGCTAGATAAATAGCCTGAATGTGGCAGAAATTTAATAATTAATTTAGGTGACGCATATACAAAAGTTCATTGTACTATTTTTACAAGTTTTCTGCAAGTTCAATTTTTTTTCCAAAAAAGTTAAAAACAATCCTTAGCCCTATGCTGGCTGATATGGTCTAAATTTTCGGCCCACCCCCTTCTCACTTTAACCACATCTATCTTTGCTTCTTCTAGGACAGGTATGCTTCTGCCTCAGGACTTCTCATCCACTCTCCTCCCTCAGATATTTGCAGGCGTAAAGCCCTTCTCTTTATTCAGGCTCTGAGAGGCCCATCATGACCACTCTATCTAAAATGATACCCCATCCCTTGCACCCTGCTTTGTTTTTCTTCATTATCTTACTACAGTCCTTGTTTATGTGTTCATTGTCTGTCTCCAGCATTAGGATGTAAAGTCCATAAGGAAGAAAATTTTTCCTATTTATTGTTTTGGGCCCAGAGAAGACAGTTGTGCCCACTATGTATAAACAGAAGAAGGAAGGAAGGAAGGGAGGGAGAGAAGGAGGGAGGGAAGGAGGGATTCAATTTGGTAATGCTTCAAGAGTATAACTAGAACTGAAACTAGAAGAAACAAAAAGTGAAGGAGTCAAGAGTAAGCTGACAGATGTGATTTTATAATCAGAAAGGCTTTAAGCTTATGGTAATCACTTTTTCTGATACTTGCCTGTTAGAGATATCAGTAATGGAGGCTGTATGGAAGGGAGGGAGTTGGTTCTAGAACTAGACTGATCCTGTATCCAGTGCAGGGGAAGCAAAGGGATCTAATATCTATTGATCACCTACTATGGCCAGACACAATGCAGGCACCTTGCAAACTCTATGAGATTTGAGGAAACTGAGGAAAGTGGTTGAGTAATTAGATTGATCACCAATCAGTGAGGGACAGAGCTTACATTAGAATTTAGACTCCTTGGGACTCTAAAACTCATGCTCCCCATATGAAGCCATGATCCTGCCCAATAGTGTCTTACTGTTGCTATAAGGTTTACACTGAATTTTAGTACCTACTTGAAAGAAAATACTAACAAAGTCTGAACAAATAGCCCTATTAAGCTAACTCCCTTTTATGAATAAATAAACACTAAAAATGACCATTTTAATTGTTTGCTAACAGGGCATCTAAAATATTTGAGAATACTGTCACTAAAATGTAAATGTTTATCCTATAATATTACTTATCAAACACTTGTTTAATTATTATAAAAATGAATTTTTCCCCTTGTCCATAGCAAATACAAAAATGAATTGTATTATCTTTGTTTAAATCAGTGGGGTCAACAAATCGGGCTAAAGAATCTATAGCCTGTTTTGTGCGTAAACATCTGTATAAACACATATGCATATGTATAATGTCAATAAAACCTTATGTAAGCTTCAGCATTACTAATCACTACATTAAAATGTGCTGAAACTTGTCCACTCATCAGAACCACATTCTTTGGCAATCACAGGATAGTATTATGAATTCAGTTTATAAAATAACTACCTGCAATAGAATAGAGATTTTAGTGAGTAGAAAAATTGGACTGAATGTAGCATAAAATGGAAAAGTAATTCATTTAACAAACATTTATTGAATACCTACTAAGTACAAGCCACTCTGTTAAAAACTGGAAATTCCACACTAAATAGGCCCATTTTCTTTCCTGGAAGAACATATGGTCTAGCAAAAAGGAATATTATGTTCAACCTTCAGTGCTCAACTTTGAAATAAAATGTTTTAAAATGGACTAATATGGTTTTAATATATCAACAATAATTTATTTCTATAATGCCTATCCATAATTTCAATAAAGTAAAGTAATTTCTCTCATGGTGTGTGCACTGACTGCACTCACCTGGGTGGGTCTTCCTTGGGATCTCTCATGAAGTGGTGTTTAGAGGTCACCTGAGGGCAGAAGTGATCTAAAGTTTCAGTTGGGCTGGACATCCAAGGCAGCCCACTCAAATGGTTTCAGTAGACTGAAAGTCTACTGAAACTTGTAACTTGCATTCATTTAGAAACAGGTTCAAGCATCTTATTTGCCCATCATTAGAAACAAGATCACTTTTAAAGTCTCAACATTTTTCCCTAGTGCTTCATATAAAAGAGAACTATGATAATTTTCACAATAACTAACATAAATTAACTTTGGGAAATTGTTTTCAATTCTTCATATTTGAATAGGTAGGCTTGGAAAACCCCCAAATACCCTCCCTATAATTAAAAATTTGTAGCTCTCCATGTGGTTTAGTATTCTCAAAAAGATAAGTAAGGAAATAAAAAATTCCAGATGGCAACATGAGAGCATCCAGATATATAATTAGGTCTAAAGAGAATTAGGCAAATATTAGGTCTAAAGAGAAAGATAAACCCCCATCAATAATAGATGGGGATTCCAACACCCCACTCTTGGCACTGGACGGATTATCTAGATCTAAAACCAACAAAGAAACATCAAATTTAAACTGTAGCATGGACCAAATGTACCTAACAGAGATTTACAGAACATTGCAATCAACAGCTGGAGATACACCCATTTTTCTCATCAGCACATAGAACATTCTCCAAGATAGACCATATGTTAAGATACAAAACAAGTCTAAAAAAATTCAAAAAACTTAAATCATAACAAGTATCTTATCTAACCACAGTGGAATAAAACTAGAAACTAACAGCAAGAGAAACATTTAAAACTACACAAACGGGCCGGATGTAGTGGTTCATGCCTATAATCCCAGCATTTTGGGAGCCCAAGGCCAGAGGATCACTTGTGGCCAGGAGTTCGAGACCAGCCTGGGCAAACATAGCAAGATCCCATCTGTACAAAAAATTTCAAAAATTAGCTGGGGATGGTGGCACATACCTGTAGTCCCATGTACTCAGGAGGCTGAGGCAAGAGGATTGCTTGAGCTATGATCATGCTACTGCACTTCAGCCTGGGCAAGAGTAAGACTGTGTCTCTCAAACAAAAAACAAAAAGAAAAACAAACAAAAAATAGTATACAAATACATGGAAATTCAACAACATGCTCCTGAATGGCCAACGGATGAAGAAAGAGATTAAGAATAAAATGTTGTAACTTCTTGAAACAAATAGAGACACAACATATCAAAACCTACTGGATACAGCAAAAGCAGTATTGAGAGGCAAGTTTGTAGTAAATACCTACATCAAAAAATAAAAAGATTTTAAATAAACTACTTAATGATGCATCTCAAAGAAATAGAAAACCAAAAAAAAAAAAAACCCAAAAGTAGTAAAAGGAAAGAAATAATAAAGATCAAAATAGACAAAATTGAGACAAAAAATACAAAAGATCAGTGAAATAAGAAGCTGGTTTTTTTGAAAAGATAAAATTGACAAACCATTAGCTAGACTAAGAAAAAGAGATAGAAGACCCAAATAAATAAAATCAGAAATTAAAGATAAAGAGATGTCACAATGGATACCACAGAAATAAAAAGAATCATTAGAGACTACTTTGAATAATTATATGCCAATAGATTTAAAAGTAAAATGAATAAATTCCTAGACACATATAATCAACAAAATTGAACCAAGAAGAAATAGAAAACCTGAACAGATCAATAACAAGTAACACGACTGAATCAGTAATAAAAATCTTCTAAACAAAGAAATGTCCAGGACTGAATGGTTTTCTTGCTTAATTCTATTACACCTTTAAAGAATAATTAATACCGATTTTTCTCAAACTGTTCCAAAAAATTGAAGTGGAAGAAACTTTTCCTAACTCATTCTATGAGGCTCAGCATAACCCTGATAATAGACAAGGACACAACAACAAAAGAAAACTGTAGGCCGACATCCTTAATGAACATAGACACAAAAATTCTCAACAAAATACTAGCAAACTGAATCCAACAATATATCAAAAAGATAATACACCATGATCATGTAAAATTTATCCCAGGAATGCAAGGATGGCTCAACATATGCAAATAATAAATGTGATACATCACATCATCAGCAGAATAAAGGATATAAACCATATGATCATCTCAATAGATGCAGAAAAAGCATTTGCTAAAATTCAATATCCCTTTATGATAAAAATTCCTAATAAATCAGGTATAGAAGGAAAGTGTAACAACACAATAAAGGCCATATATGACAGACCCACATCTAACATCATATTGAACAGGAAAAAGCTTTCTCTAAGAACTGGAACAAGACAAGGCCCACTCTCACTACTCTTATTCAACATAGTACTGGAAGTTGTAGCCAAAGCAATAAGGCAAGAGAAATAAATGAGGGGCATACAAGTTGGAAAAGAGGAAGACAAATTGTCCATTTGCAGATGACATGATCTTATACATAGGAAACCCTAAAGACTATCAAAAAATACCCTTAGAACTGGTAAACAAATTCTGTAAAGTTTCAGGGTAGAAAATCAACATACAAAAATCAGTAACAGGGCCAGGCATGGTGGCTCATGCCTGTAATCCCAGCACTCTGGGAGGCCAAGGCAGGCTGATCACCTGAGGTTGGGAGTTCAAGACCTGCCTCACCAATGTGGAGAAACCCCATCCCTACTAAAAATACAAAATTAGCCAGGTGTGGTGGCACATGCCTGTAATCCCAGCTACTCAGGAGGCTGAGGCAGGAGAATCACTTGAACCCGGGAGGCAGAGGTTGCAGTGAGCCAAGATTATGCCATTGCACTCCAGCCTGGGCAACAAGAGTGAAACTCCATCTCAAAAAAAAAAAACAAAAAAAAATCAGTAACATATCTATACACAAATAGTGAACTAGCTAAAAAAAATCAAGAAGGCAATCCTATTTACAAATGCTACAAAGAAAATACAATGATTAGGAATAAATTTAACAATAATAAAAACAAAAACAACAACAACAAAGGAATAAGTTTAACCAAGGACGTGAAAGATCTCTACAAGGAAAACTATAAAACACTGATGAAGGAAATTGAAGAGGTCAAAAAAAATGAAAAGACATTTGCATCCATGTTCATGGATTGAAAGAATTAATATTGTAAAAATGACCATACTACCAAAAGCAATCTACAGATTCAATGCAATTAATATCAAAACTACCAATGATATTCTTCACAGAAATAGGAAAAAAACCTTAAAATTGGTAGGGAACCACAAAAAAAGCAATCCTAAGCAAAAAAGAACAAAGCTGCTGACATCACACTACCAGACTTCAAAATATACTACAAAGCTGTAGTAGCAAAACCAGCACAGTGCTGTCATAAAAACAGATACATAGACCAATGGAACAGAATAGTGAACTCAGAAATTAATCTACACATTTACAGCCAAATGATTTTTCACAAGGCACCCAGAATACTCATAGGGTAAAGGACAATCTCTTCAATAAATGGTGCTGGGAAAACTAGATATCCATATGCAGAAGAATGGAACTACCTGTCACCTATTAAAAAAATCAACTCAAGTGGATCCAAGACCTGAATGTAAGACCCAAAACTATAAAACTACTAGACGAAAACAGGGGAAATGCTTCAGGACACTGGTCTGTAAAAAGATTTTATGTATAAGACCTCAAAAGCATAAGCAACATAAACAAAAATAAACAAATGAGAAAGGGGCTTAACATCCAAAATACACAAGGAACTCAAACATCTCAATAGCCAAAAAAAAAAAAAATCCGATTAAAAACTTGGCAAATGATCTGAACAGACATTTCTCAAAAGAAGGCAAACAGTCAATAAATACATGAAGAAGTGCTTGACATCACTAATCATCAGGAGAATGCAAATCAAACTACAATAGTATATTATCTCACCAGAGTTAGCATGGCTATGATCAAAAAGACAAAAAATAACATGGTGGCAAGGATGTGGAGCAATGGGAACTCATACACTGTTTTGAGAAAGTAAACTAGTGCAGCCACTATGGAGAAGAGTGCGAATGTTTAAAAAAAAAAAACAAAACTACAAATAGAGCTACCACATAATTCAGCAATCCCATTATGGGCATTTATCCAGAGGAAAATAAATCAGTATATCAAAGAGACCTCTGCACCCCCATGTTTAATTGCCACACTATTCATATTAGCCAAGATATTAAATCAACCTAGTTGTACAACAACAGATGCATGGATAAAGAAAATATGGTATATATACACAGTGGAATACCATTCAGCCATAAAAAAGAATGAAATTCTGTGATTCACAGCAACATGAATGGAACTGGAGGATATTGTGTTAAGTGAAATGAGCCAAGAACAGAAAGTTAAACTCCACATGTTCTCATTCTTATGTGGAATCTAAAAAAAGTGGATATCACAGAAGTAAAAAATAGAACAGAGTATACTAGAGGCTGGAAAGGAGGAGAGCTAAGAGGGAAATAAGGAAAGATTTGTTAAACGATACAAAATTACACCTAGATAGGAGGAATAAGTTCTAGTGTTCTATACCACTGGAGGATGACTATAGTTAATAATAATATGTTACATAGTTTCAAAGAGCTAGAAAGAGGATATTGGCCACGTGCAGTGGCTCATGCCTGTAATCCTGGCACTTTGGGAGGCTGAGGTGGGAAGATTCCTTGAGCCTATGAGTTCAAAACCAGCCTGAGCAACATAGAAAGACCTCATCTCTACTATTTTTTTTTTTTAATTAGTGGTCGTGGTAGTGCACACCTGTGGTCCCAGCTACCACTTGACAGCTGTGGCAGGAAGATTGCTTGAGCTCAAGAGGTCCAGGCTGCAGTGAGTTCTGACCATTGCACTTTAGCCTGGGTGACAGCGGGAGACTCTGTTTAAAAACAAAACAAAACAGAAAGAGAAAACTGAATGTCCCCAATAGAAAGAAATGATAAATGCAAATAAGATTATAAATACGCTAATTATAATTACTATGTGTTAATTTTTTAATGTTATTCAGTAAATATATATATGTATGTGTGTGTGTATATATATATATGTTATATGTGTATGTATGTATGTATGTGTAGACACAGGGTCTGACTCTGTCACCCAGGCTGGAGTGCAGTGGCACAGTCATAGCTCACTGCAGGCTTGAACTCCTGGGCTCAAGCATTCCTCCTGCTTCAAGCCTCTTGAGTAGCTAGGACTACAGACACTGCCACCATGCCTGGCTAATTTTTGTAATTTTTTGTAGAGGTGGGATCTTGCTCTGTTGCCCAGGCTGATCTTGAACTCCTGGCTTCCTGTGATCCTCCCACCTTGGCCTCCCAAAGTACTAGGATTACAGGTATGAACCATCACTCTCAGCCAAAAAAATTAAGTTAAAAAAATAATAATTTAGTGAACTGAGTAAAAACAAAGAAAAAACCAGAAATGTCCTGATAGTAAATAACAGATTCTACCATAGAAGGAAGAGAAAAAGTACATTAAGAGGTCTCAGTTGCAATTTTTTCCAGTAAGAACTTCCTCCAGCCTCACTCTTTGGTAAGATGGAGATGAGTGCTCCCTGTACCTCCTGTTCTCCATAAACAAAGATTCAGTCCCATTTCCTAGCTCCCATTTTCATTGTAAGCCCTGCTGCCATTTATCAGTATAGACACACATGTTGATTCCCGAGCTCTCTGGGAATCTGTGGATGATAAGATTACAAAGAAAGTCGCAGGAGGCTGGTTCACTGTAGGGCATTTTGAATCCATTGTGAACATGTGTTGGGTATGTGGGTCAATGAATTCTGGGGGTAGGCTCAGGTGGCTCAATGAAGAAAGCTACTTCCTTAGGCTACCTCTGACCTCAATTTAAGCAATTTATTTGTAGTTGGGATAATGTAGTTTTTGCATGACCTTAAAGTAAATTGAACAAGCCAATAGACAATGTAATGATCACCCACTTTGAAGCTCATTTTTTTTTTTTACAGGAAAGAGATGCATTTAGATATTTGGTAAGAACTTCATAGAGACTAAGGTAATGGAAGTGTGGGAAGAAATTTCAGAAATAAAGAGAAATGGTTTGTTTTTTAGAGAAATAAATGGGTCAGTATTTCAAATACTCCATTTCATTCATGAAGTTGGCAGTAGTATCAATGAGCGCAATTGCTAGCAAATGGTGATCTGATTAAAGTGGGAAGAATATATCCAAACAGGTAGAGATTATGAACTAAAATTCCTAAGATTAAATTACTGGTTTTTTTGTTTTGTTTTGTTTTTTCAGATGGGGTCTCACCCTGTCACCCAGGCTGGACTGCAGTGGTGCAGTCATAGCTCACTGCAGCTTCAAACTTCTGGACTCAAGTGATCCTCCTGCCTCAGCCTCCTGAGTAACCAGGATTAAAAACATGTACCACCGTTCCCCATTAATTTCCTACCTTAGCCTCCCAAAGTGTAGGGATTACAGGCATGAGCCACCATGCCTGGCCTAAAAGTACTTTCTTTCTTTCTTTTTGTAAGAGATACTGTCTCATTTTGTTGCGCAGGGCTGGTCTTGAACTCCTGGCCTCAAGTGATCCTCGCACTTTGGCCTCCCACAGTGATAAATTACAGGAGCGAGCCACCGCTAAAACTATTCTTAATGAATTATCTTCTGACTGTGTTAGTAGTACATTGGGTAAATTTTTTTTGTCAGAAAAAAACTCAAAGATTTGCTTTTACTTTACAAACTATACATTCCTTGTTCTCTTGAGAATGTCATTCCACTTTTCAAGCTCACTGAATTATACCAACCCACTTGAAAAACTAAATTGACCTCGTTATCCTTGTTCATGCTGTTGAAAATGAACTTCTTAAGGTCATATTGCATTACATTGTTCATTCCTTTTGTTGTCCCATTCCCAAGTATCTCCAGGTGCTTAAAATGTTGATAGTAATAATGAAATCACTAAATGAAAACTGGAGACAATATGCCCAAATTTCAGGGAAGAAAGAAGAAAATGTTCTTTCTCTTCACTCCTCCCATGGAATATGAAACTGATAAAGAGAAGCAGTGACTAACCTCCAAACTCTTGCTTTAAGGGCAGGCAAACAGTGTTTCAAATGGATATCTAAGACATTATAGCTCCAAGCCCCAGACCTGCAACACCTCTGTCTCCTACCCTTGGATGATTCAGTTCTACAGTTTGGTTTATATGGTCCCCATTCACCTGGAGCTCTTCCTTAACTGATCTATTATGTATAACAGGATGGCTCACCCGGCAGCAATTCTGCAATCTCTTTCTCATGAAATATTTTGCAAGAAAGCTCTCCCTTTGACACCCTATTCAGCATAATATTGTATCATGTGTAGATTAATATTGCATTTGTTCCATGATCAGTTATCTTGCAAAGTCAATTATTCAGAACACAGCCAAGAATCAATAGGAAGATGAAAAAATTATCTGAACAACCAAGTAATACTCTTACAGAATGTTACTCAAAGAAGAATCTCTCTGGCCATTTCTCAGGACTTATTTGCTTCTATTTTAGATACAATTCTTACATGCTTAATAAACCAACTTGTTATTCAACCAACTCTATGCAATCTTTTTTAGAGATAGGTTGTCACTGTGTCGCCCAGGCTGGAGTTCAGTGGTGTGACCACAGTTCACTGCAGCCTCAGCTTTCCAGGCTCAAGCCATCCTCCCACCTATACCTCCAGAGTAGCGAGTAGCGGGTAGCGGGAACTACAGGCAGGCACCACTTCCCCTGGCTAATTTTTTGTGTTTTTTAAAGAAATGGATCTCATTGTGTTACCCATACCTGCCTCAGGCCCACAAAGTGTTGGGATTATAAGCGTGAGCCACTGTGTCCAGCCACTAATGACATTCTTAAAGTTACTCCTAAGCTAACCCAGGCCGTAAAGATGGTGTGGAACTGAAACACAATGCCTGGTCTTACACAGGTCCTCAGCAGTGTTAGAATGTGCTCAATGAACTGTTTATGATGTGACTGAATGGGATGATGAGATGCAGCCCAACAACACTATGTTCACTATGAGAAACTTAGTGAAAATATTTGGATCTGAGGATGCATTTCTTTCTCTTCTTAACGTAAGGAACCATACTAGCTCTTGTTTTTAAATTGTAGACTCTGCAAACAATATAAGTGATTGTCATTCATATTCTGCCTTGGTATCAGAAAGCTCAAAGCCAAGATTGTGATCCATATCTCATTAGTGTAAAGGATTTCATGGGAATTATTTTGTGTTTTGCATTTTGTTTTTTTTTTATTTGCATCATTTTTCTCACTTATTTTGAAGTTACATCTTTTTGCTATATGGTTTATTTTATTTTTAAAAACCCATATGGAATTTACCATATGCTAGACACTGTTCTAAGCACTTTGCAAATATTAATTCATTTAGTTCTCATAGTTACCCTATGTTATCATATCCATTTATGGTTAAAAATGGAGGCACTTAGAGATTAGTTATATATCTTTTAATCTACATAAAATCTTTTTGGAATATAAGAAAATATATGGCTAGGCGCAGTGGCTCACACCTGTAATCCCGGCACTTTGGGAGGTTAAGGCAGGTGGATCACTTGAGGCCTAGAGTTCGAGACCAGCCAGGGCAACATGGCGAAATCCCATCTCTACAAAAAATATAAAAATTAGCCAGGCATGGTGGCTCCAGCCTGTAGTCCCAGATACTTGGGAGGTTTAGGTGGGAATATTGCTTGAGACCAGGAGGCAGAAGTTGTAGTGGTGCTGAGACTGTGCCACTGCACTCCAGCCAAGGCAACAGGGGGAGACCATGTCTCAATACAATAAATAAATAAATAAATAGAGCAAGTTTATTCTAGCTGGAAAAGTTGACTGAAAAGAAATTAATGCTTAAAATTGATAAATTGGGAAAAAGCAATAGGTAGAAATATAGAGGTAAAATACTAGGGGAAAAAAAGCTAAAGGTTTAAGTGATTGCTTTTGGGGAATACAATTCAGGCGTAAAGGATCATGGGAACTGCTCTGTGTGTGTGTGTGTGTGTGTGTGTGTGTGTGTGTGTGTGTAAGCCTTTTAACACTTTAATCCTTTTTAAACCAGGAATGTGATTTCTTTGAAACTTCTAAAATATTATGAAAACATCCACACAAACTTCTCAAATCATAAAAATGACTATCCTTTGATCACTGGCTGTGTGTGGTTCACCGAAAGGATATGAATCGTGTGATATCATAGGGAATTTCCTGAGCAACAGAGTGAAATTGAAAAATATGTTAGAGTCTACTTCTGACTACATTTGAGGTTGGTATAGCTCTTCTGTCAAAGTATATGTCTTCCGATTATTAAGGTTCTACTTCTCTGATACATAGTACAAAGCTATGGCACTTTTGAAGCAAATGCTTAAGAACAGGGCTTTTCACAGTGCTGACCTCAGACTCTGTCCCTCATGGTCCATGAAGGACCATCTGTCTGTTTAGCAATTAAAAAGTTTTTTAAACTTACAACAATTATTTATACATATTTTGTAAATTTGAAATGTAAGATTAACTATAAGTTTTGCTGAAATCTTATTCTGTTCTAATAATTTATAGGCTTTAAGAGTTTGTACTGTATTAATAAGAAACTCTTGCTTAACATTCAACTAAACTGAAATATTGTCTCTTGGGCTCACAGTGTTTTCAAGTTAATTGAATATTATCACTTAAATAATTTGTTACATTTGCATGTTTCATTGCTATCATTCTAATTCAAAGAAAATATACCCATCTATCAAAAGTAGCTCATTAGTTAAACAGATGCTTGAAGGCAGCATACTCGTTAAGAGTCATCACCACTCCCTAATCTCAAGTACCCAGGGACACAAACACCGCGGAAGGCGGCAGGGCCCTCTGCCTAGGAAAACCAGAGACCTCTGTTCACATGTTTATCTGCTGACCTTCCCGCCACTATTGTCCTATGACCCTGCCACATCCCCCTCTCCGAGAAACACCCAAGAATGATCAATAAATACTAAAAAAATTATTTAAAAAAAGTAGCTCATTAAACATTAAAAGAAGTGATAAAAATGGCAATATAAATACCGTGACCCAAAATAAAGTTGGAAGTATGAATAGGGAGAAGTGCTCTAGTGTGAATGTAAAATGCAGATCTGTATGTGCAAAAGCAAATAAATCTAAACATGTAATGATTTTGCACAAGCAGCCAAAAAAGAAAAGTGTGATTAAGTCCAATGATGAATATATGATAAACAAACTTTATTGGAAAATTGATCCACTGCCACCAGTCCCAGTACATTATCTGTTAGAATACTTGTCTATAGCAACATACAGCTCTAGAGGACTTCAGGCATAGCGACTGTTCGTGTAAAATCAATCAGTTTTTATGAAACTGTGCAGAATTATGGTATTCAATAAATGATTGTATTTTTTCTGATGACATATAAATGACCAAACTACCAACTGATATTTAATCAAATTTATATACCTATTACACTTTATTGAAGGTTTTTAAAACCATAAAAAAGTAAACGCCTTTTGTTATACTGGGGAGAAAGCAGAATACTTTTGAAGAATAATATGTCCAAACAACATGTCTTACTAGGAATGAATAACTTACATAACACATAACAATTAAAGTAATGTTATACTGCCTCAGAATTAGAAATACAATCTAGTGAAACAGAAACCAGCAGTTGACCCCAGCATATATATAGAAATGACATACAATGGAATTGACAATTCAAATCAATGGGAAAAGAATAACGTATTTAATAAATTGCACTTGAACTATTGTTTATTCATCTTCAAAAAAAATGTATCTTTACCTCACCCTACATGAATATAAACTCCAGATGGTTTAAAGACATAAATGTCAAAAGAAAAACACTTTTAGATGTTAGAAGAAAATATAGATATATTTGTTTATATATGAACCTTAAATTGAGTAAGAATTTCTTAAACAATATACCAAAAACAGAAGAAGCAAATGACATGAAGAAAACATTGATATATCTGATTATATCAAAATGCTTAGCTTGGATATAAAATTTTAAGATATATTTATGCACTAAAAATATAAAATCATGAATCATTGTTAATTTGAGAGAAGCAGGAAGAACAATAGATCCAGAGATAGTACCCAGGATATTTTAATTATATGTATAATTTCTCAAAAACATCTTTATATCCATATATGCTTATCTATATATAATTGTATCTATATTTCTCAAAAATATGTATAATAAACATTTATAGCAAAATGCTATAGTTTGACAAAGATGTCCTACTGGTGCGGGTTATATTGTTTTCTATAATTTATCTATCTTATGCTTGAAATAGATTGTAGTAAAAAAATTAAGAATGTTTAAGAGACATGGAAAATAGAATTTTAGGTCCATCACATAGTAATAAGAGCTCCAGAAGGAAATATTAGGGAAAATGGAAGCTGAGTGATATGGTTTGGCTGTGTCCCCACCCAAATTTCATCTTGAATTGTAGCTCCCATAATTCCCCCATGTCATGGGAGGGACCTGGTAGGATGTCATTGAATCATGGGTGTGGGTCTTTCCCATGCTGTTCTATAAAAGGGAGTTCCCCTGCACATGTTCTCTTTCCTGCCGCCATGTAAGATTGTGAAGCCTCCCCAACCATGTGGAACTGTGAGTCAATCAAACCTCTTTCCTTTATAAATTACCCAGTCTCAGGTATGTCTTTATTAGCAGCATGAGAACAGACTAATATACTTAGTATATTCCAAGAGATAATGGCTGAATATTTTCCAAAATTCACAAAAGACATAAATCAAATTTAAATAACACATCCCCCTACACACACCCTCTCATAAATACAGATTTTTCTCAAAGATCAGTTATGCTCAATCTGGGATCTTTTTGGCTACAATTTGTGCCAAAAGTATAAAGGTATCTGAGCTGGGATGGAACAAATTTATTATAAAATTAGAATATCACAATTAACTATTCTTACCTAGATGGCCCGGACTGTCGCCTGAGAAAGTTAAATATTTACTCTGGCCAACTTAGGGCAAGCTTATCTACCCCTTCTACTACCACAGCTGGTGCTCTCTTGAAAGCACCACCTTTTGGCTGGAGGCCAACCAACTCAGCCCATTACAGTAACTCCATAAGAGAACAACCCTGCTCCAAAGAAGGAGAAAACAGCTAATTCCAGTGCTGCAACATCCTGATTAACGAGAGGTCCTGAGTCTTTCCACGTGATGACTTCAGTGCTAGCATAAGCAGTATTTGAGACAACCACCACACTAAACAAAATTACAACCACGGACTCACAGAGTCCACTTCACTGCCCTGCCACCTCCACCAGAGTAGGTGCTGGTAGCCACAGCTGGGAGACCTGAAGACTGACCACATCACACAACATTTGCAGACATTCCGTAGCACCAGCCCAGCATCTGGTATCCCTGCTGGGTGGCTAGGTCAAAAGCCACCTGGGATCACTCCATGGGACAAAAGAATCTGAACAGCAGCCCTTGAGTTCCAGATTTTTCCACTGAAATAGTCTACCCAAATAAAAAGGAACCAGAAAAGTAATTCTGGTAATAAGACAAAACAAAGTTCTATAACACCCCCAAAAGATCATACTAGCTCTCCAGCCATGGATCCAAACCAAGAAAAAATCTTTAAATTGCCAGATAAAGAATTCAGAAAGTTTATTATTAATCTACTCAAGGAGGTACCAGAGAAAAGTGAAAACCAATCTAAAGAAATTAAAACAACAATACAGGATATAGATGAAAAAGTCTCCAGAGAAATAGATATGATAAAGAAAAAACAACTATAACTGCTGGAAATAAAAGACACACTTAGAGAAATATTACTGTAGTATTGTGGCAAAAACACAATTACTTTTGCACCAGCCTAATACAAAATACACTGGAAAGCTTCAACAATAGACTAGAACAAGTAGAAGAAGGAAATTCAGGGCTCAAAGACAAGGCTTTCAAATTAATTTAATTCAACAAAAACAAAGAAAAAAGAATTTTTAAAAAATAAATAAAGCCTCCAAGAAATGTGGGATTGTGTTCGATGACCAAATATAACTGTTCAATATATGTTCAGTGACCAAATATAATTGTTTAATATATGTTCAATGACCAAACAATTGGTATTGCTGAGGAGGAAGAGAAATCTAAAAGTTTGGAAAACTTATTTGAGAGAATAATGGAGGAACACTTCCCTGGCCTTGCTAGAGATCTAGACATTTAAACACAAGAAGCTCAAAGAACACCTGGGAAATTCATTACAAAAATATCATCACCTAGGCACATAGTCATCAGGTTAACTAAAGTCAAGATGAAGGAAAGAATCTTAAGAGCTATGAGGCAAAAGCATCAGGTAACCTATAAAGGAAAATCTATCAGATTAGCAGCAAACTTCTCAGCAGAAATCCTACCATCCAGAAGAGATTAGGGCCCATCTTTAGCTTCCTTAAGCAAAGTAATTATCAGCCAATAATTTTGTATCCAGTGAAACTGGATACATAATCTCCTTCATAAATGAAGGAGAAATAATCTTTTTCAGACAAACAAATGCTGAGAGAACTCACTACGAAGCCAGCACCACAAGAAATGCTAAGATTTCTAAATCTTGAAAAACCTCAAAATACACCAAAATAGAACCTCCTTAAAGTATAAATCTCATAGGGCCTATAAAACAATAATACAATTTAAAAAACACAAGGTATTCAGGCAACAACTAGCATGACTAATAATAGAACAGTACCTCACATCTCAATACTTATGTTGAAGGTAAATAGCCTAAATCCTCCACTTAAAAGATACAGAGTGGCAGAATTCATAAAAATCCACCAACCAGGAATCTACTGTCTTTAAGAGACTCACCTAACACATAAGGACTCACATAAACTTAAGGTAAATGGGTGGAAAAAGATATTCCATGCAAATGAAAACCAAAATTGAGCAGGAGTAGCTGTTCTTACATCAGACAAAACAGACTTTAACGCAACAGCAATTTAAAAAGACAAAGAGGGATTAGTTCAACAGGAAAATATTACAATACTAAATATATATGCACCTAACACTGAGCTCCCAAATTTATAAAATGATTACTACTAGACCTAAGAAACGAGATAGATAGCAACACAATAATAGTAGGGGACTTCAATACCCCACTGACAGCACTAGACAGGTCATCAAGACAGAATGTCAACAACAAAAAATTGACTTAAACTGCATTCTAGAAAACATGGACTTAACATATGTTTACAGAACATCCTACCCATCAGCTGCAGAACATTCTTTTCATGAGCACATGGGACATTCTCCAAGAGAGGCCATATGATAGGCCACGAAACAAGTCTCAATAAATTTAAGAAAACCAAGATTATATCAAGTACTCTCTCAAACCACAGTGAAATAAAATAGGAAATTAACTACAAAAGGAATTCTCAAAACTATACAAATACATGGAAATTAAATAATCTGCTTCTGAATGATTTTTTGGTCAACAATGAAATCAAGATGGAAATTTAAAAAAAATTATTTGAACTGAAGGATAATTGTGACACAACTATCAACACTTCTGAGATACAGCAAAGGTGGTGCTAAGAGAAAAGTTTATAGCATTACACGCCTACATAAAAAGTCTGAAATAGCATAAATAGACAATCTGAAATAGCACAAATAGACAATCTAAGGTCACACCTCAAGGAACTAGAGAAACAAGAACAAACCAAACCCAAACCCAACAGAAGAAAAGAAATAACAAAGATCAGAGCAGAACTAAATGAAATTGAAACAACAACAAAAAAATACAAAAGATAAATGAAACAAAAAGCTGGTTCTTTGAAAAGATAAACAAAATCAATAGATCATTAGTGAGATTAACCAAGAAAAGATCCAAATAAGCTCAATTAGAAACAAAACAGGAGATATTACCAAAAATACCACAGAAATATTAATACAAAAGATCATTCAAGTCTACTATGAACATCTTCACATGCACAAACTAGAAAACCTAGAGGAGATGGTTAAATTCCTGGAAATATACAACCCTCCTAGATTAAGGAAGAAATAGAAACCCTGAACAGACCAATAACAAGTAGCAACATGGAAACAGTAATTAAAAATTTACCAACAAAAAATAAGTCCAGGACAAGATGGATTTACAGCTGAATTCAATCAGACATTCAAAGAAGATAGTGTCAATCTTGCTGAAAGTATTCCAAAAGGTAAAGGGAATCCGCCCTAAATCATCCTATACAGCTGGGATTACCAAAATACCAAAACCAGGAAAGGACATAACAAGAACAAACAGACAAAAACAAAACTACTGAACAATATCCTTGATGAATATACAGGCAAAAATCCTCAACAAAATTCTAGCTAACCGAATCCAACAGCATATCAAAAAGATAATCCACCATGATCAAGTAGGTTTCATACGAGGGACACAGGGATGGCTTAACATCCGCAAGTCAATAAATGTGATACACCACATAAATAGAATTAAAAACAAAAATCACACGATCATCTCAATAGATGCAGAAAAAGCATTTGACAAAATCCAGCATCGCTTTATGATTAAAACCCTCAGCAAAATCAGCATAGAAGGGACATACCTTAAGATAATAAAATCCATCTATGACAAACCCACAGCCAACATTATACTGAACCAGGAAAAGTTAAAAGCATTCCCCCTGAGAACTGGAACAAGACAAGGATCCCCACTTACACCACTTCTATTTAACGTAGTACTGGAAGTCCTAGCCAAAGCAACCAGACAAGAGAAAGAAATAAAGAGCATCCAAATTGGTAAAGATGAAGTCAAACTGTCACTCTTCACCAATGATATGATTGTATACCTAGAAAACCCTAAAGACTCATCCAAAAAGCTGCTAGGTCTTTACTAAATGAATTCAGTAAAGTTTCAGGATGCAAAATCAATGTACACATATCAGTAGCACTGCAATACACCAACAGTGACCAAGCTGAGAATAAAATCAAGAACTCAACTCCTTTAACATCGGTTGTAAAAAATAAAATAAAATATTTGGAATATACCTAACCAAGAAGGTGAAAGATTTCTATAAAGAAAGCTACAAAACACTGCTGAAAGAAATCATAGTTGACACAAACAAATGGAAACACATCCCCTACTCATGGATAGGTAGAATAATATTGTAAAAATGACCATATTGCCAAAAGTAATCTATAAATTCAATGCAATTCCCATCAAAATACCATAACCATTCTTCATAGAACTAGAAAAAAATCCTAAAATTCATATGGAGCCAAAAAAGTGCTTGCATAGCCAAAGCAAGGCTAAGCAAAAAGAACAAATCTGGAGGCATCACATTATCTGACTTAAAACTATATTACAAGGTTATAGTTACCAAAACAGCATGGCACTGGTATAAAAATAGACAGGTAGACCAATGGAACAGAATAGAGAACCCAGAAATAAAGTCAAGTACTTACAGCAAACTGATCTTCAACAAAACATACAAAAACATAAAGTGAGGAAAGGACACCCTATTCAACAAATGGTGCTGGGATAATTGGCAAGCCACATGTGGAAGAATGAAATTGGATCCTCATCTCTCATCTTATACAAAAATCAACTCAAGATGGATCAAAGACTTAAATCTATATCCTGAAACTATAAAAATTCTAGAAGATAACATCGGAAATACTCTTTTAGATATTGGCTTAGGCAAAGAGTTCATGACCAAGAACCCAAAAGCAAATGAAACAACAATAAAAATAGATAGGACTTAATTAAACTAAAAAGCTTCTGAACAGCAAAAGAAATAATCAGCAGAGTAAACAGATGACTCACAGAGTGGGAGAAAATCTTCACAAACAGTGCATAATATCCAGAATCTACAAGGATCTCAAAAAAATCAGCAAGAAAAAAAAATCTCATTAAAAAGTGGCCTAAGGACATGAATAGACAATTCTCAAAAGAAGATACACAAATGGCCAACAAACATATAAAAAATGCTCAACAGGCCGGGCGCGGTGGCTCACGCCTGTAATCCCAGCACTTTGGGAGGCCGAGGCGGGCGGATCACGAGGTCAGGAGATCGAGACCATCCTGGCTAACACGGTGAAACCCCGTCTCTACTAAAAATACAAAAAATTAGCCGGGCGTGGTAGCGGGCGCCTGTAGTCCCAGCTACTCGGGAGGCTGAGGCAGGAGAATGGCGTGAACCCGGGAGGTGGAGCTTGCAGTGAGCCGAGATCGCGCCACTGCACTCCAGCCTGGGCGACAGAGCGAGACTCCGTCTCAAAAAAAAAAAAAAAAAAAAAAAAAATGCTCAACATCACTAATTATCAGGGAAATGCAAATCAAAAACCACAATGTGATACCACCTTACTCCTGCAAGAATGACCATAATTTAAAATTCAAAAAATAATAGATGTTGGCATGGATGTAGTGAAAAGGGAGCACTTTTATACTGCTGGTGGGAACGTAAACTAGTACAACCACTATAGAAAACAGTATGGAGACTCCTTAAAGAACTGAAAATAGAACTACATTCCATCCAGCAATCCCACTACTTGGTATCTATCCAGAGGAAAAGAAGTCATTACATGAAAAAGACACTTGCACATGCATGTTTATAGCAGCACAATTTGCAATTGCAAATATATGGAACCAGCCTAAACGTCCATCAACCAATAAGTGGATAAAGAAAATATGGTATATATACATACATATATACCATGGAATACTACTCAGCCATAAAAAGGAATTAAATAATGGCATTCACAGCAACTTGGATGGAGTTGGAGACCATTATTCTAAGTGAAGTAACTCAGGAATAGAAAATCAAACATTGTTATGTTTTCACTTACAAGCAGGAGCTAAGCTATGAGGATGCAAAGGCATAAGAATGATGTAATGGACTCTGGGGACTCAGGGGAAAGGATGGGACAGGGGGATGAGGGATAAGACTACATATTAGGTACAGCGTATATTGCTTGGATGATGGGTGCACCAAAATCTCAAAAATCACCACTAAAAAATTTATCTATGTAACCAGACAGCACCTGCTCCCCAAAAACTATTGAAATAATTAAAAAAAGAAAAAATATATATTATTCACTAAACTCCATAACCTGAAATGTTAGTTTCTCCCTGATGTCACTTGCCTTCTTTCTAGCCTCGTTTTGCATCTTAGAAATCTTGCACTGAGTTCTGTACAAGGTCACCTGTGTCACTGAGGGCCTTGTTTTTTAAAACTTATAGGTATTTTATCTTCCCAAGTTTCAAAAATCCAGTTTTGCTCCCACCGAGGATTTTTCTGACAAGAGTGGTTTCCTTCTCATGTTTATGCCGGCTTTTCTTTCTGAATGCCTTACATGAACTGTAAAAATATAATTAGAAACATAGAAATATTAAAATATATCAATGTCTTAGTCTGTTCAGGCTACCATAACAAAAAAAAATCATATCTGCCTGCCAATGAACAAATAAAAAAAATTAAGCTACTGGTAAAATTCATTTTTCAAATGACACTGTTAGATATAATATAAATGGTATAAAAGTGTTAGAGCAATAATTTTCTTCTTTGTGTTAGCAGATAATTCACTTTACTGTTAAATTACTACCAATGGTAAATGTATGATTTAGATTTGGGCATATATGTAATACATATAAAGTGAGCATTTGATGATTTTTATTTGTTTCGTTTATCACTGAAAACCTAGACTACATGAGAACAGACTTGGTTAATTGGTTTTCTTTTTGAGCCATAATATAGGCCAGGAGTTGACAAACTATGGCCCACAGATCAAATCTGGCCCACCACCTATTAGCCCTCCAGCTAAGAATAGACTTATATTTTTAAAGCGTTTTTAAAATAAAATAAAAAGCAATATTCCCTGATATATGAAAATTTTGTGAAATTAATACTTCAGTATCCATAAATACAATGCTATTTTTTAAACACAGGCACCTTTGTTTGTTTATGTCTTGTCTATGGCTGCTTTCATGCTACAATGGCCAAGTAGTTTCAACTGAGGCCATAGGACCTACAAAGCCTAAAATATTAACTCTCTGGTTTTTTGCCAAAAACGTTTACCAGCCCCTGACATAGGATACAAATGGGTGACTCATATGCTCCAATTGAATATGAAGGAAAGAAAAGAGGTAAATTGCAAATAAAATAGGTTATACATTAATGCCAATGTATGCACTACTTTATTCACAGAAAACAGTTGTGAAGAAAATATGACGCCTGACCATGAATGATTCAGGACTAGGTGAAATTGTAAAAATTATTAAGATAATTAAGTTGTGGTAATTACTATAACTCCTTTCTTCATGTTATATGAAGAAATAATGAGTAAGTAAATAACTATGCTTTTTCATACTACAGTTACCGAGATTTTGAAAGGAAAGTTGCTCACATGACTTTTGGAAAGGAGAGATGAAATTAAAACACTTCATCATGATGCTGAAAATGCCAGGAAAGATTATATTTTTAGTTTCATGTTGTGTTACTCTAGTGAATAGCCAGAATCTAACACTTCAAGACCAAAATCTCACAAGTTTATATGTTGAAAATAAGATATAAATTTTCATCAGAAGACAAAATTGTGGCTCAAATTATTCCATTGCTGAGTGTTACTCTTTTTAAGCACCTAATATTTTTTCATTTTTCAGAGAATTAAATCAATGATATATTATTGTACAAACTTTAAGTACCCAACCCCACAAATGCGTAATCAGAACATGAAGAAATTTTCCAGAACTACATGAAACCTACAAGTTTAACCTCACGTGTCAAAGCAATCAACCTTATAGGTTCCTTTTTGTTTTTAGTTGGGGTCTCGCTCTGTCACCCAGGCTGGAATGCAGTAGCACAATCATACCTTCTGCAGCCTCGAACTCCTGGACTCAAGCAATCCTCCTGCCTCAGTGTCCCGAGTAGCTGGGACTACAGACATGCACCACCGGGCCCACCTAATTTTAAAATTTTGTTTAGAGAGATTTTTGTAAAGAGTATTTCTGTCTTGCCATGTTGCCCAGGCTGTTCTCGAATTCTTGGGCTAAGGCAATCCTCTTGTCTTGGCCTCCCAAAGTGCTGGGATTATAGGCATGAGCCACTGTGCCCAATCCAACTGTATAGGTTGCTTTGGTGGCTGTTGTTATTTTAATGTGATAACTCATCCACACCGTGTCCAAGAAAGTAACTAAAGCCATTTTCAGTGAGCAATCGCTCTTTAACTTCAGGTTCATTTTCAATACAAACATGGAAAACTGATTGTTATCAAATACTTGCTCCCATTCTCAGTAATGCACAAATGTAATGTTCTAGTTCAATTGAAATAATCATCAAGATAAAAACTGCCTGGATATGGAACCTCACTACTACCTTCATGAAAACTGCACATTGACTAGAAAAAAAGAAAAATTATTTCCAACCTAGAATTTTAAAGTCTTCCCAATTATCAATTAAGTGGGAGACTAGAAAAAAAAGACATTTTTAGAAATAGATTCTCAAAAACTTAATTCCTATTTATCCTTTCTTAGAATGCTACTGGAGAATACACTCCATAAAATAAGAGAAAAACCAAAGAGGAAAATAGGAGATCCAGGAACCAGGGAATCCAACACAGGAGGGAGACTAAGAGAACCCCCATTTACAGAATGAAGAAAAATCCCAAGGCTATGGTTACACGCCAGGGTAGAAGCCCACCAGTCCTGAAGGGGAAAGGTTAGAAAGTTTTGGAAGAAACTTCTTAAAGAGATGAAATTGATAGAGTATCTAATGTGTTTGAACATCATAATTGAAGATTTACACAATTAAGGGAGAGTTTGGGACTAAATTAAGTACATTAAAAAAAACAAGTATATTGACAAACAAGACACTTAAAAATTCCAAGGAAGATAAATATTGTGCTAGCAAAAAAAAAGTAACCACAAAATACTGCCTGGTTCATCAACAAACTGTTTACATGGTCATGATAATGTAAACACTGAACATTGCTCTCTTTTTTTTTTTTGAGACAGTCTCACTCTGTCTCCAAAGCTAGACTGTAGTTGCATGATCTCAGCTTACTGAAACCTCCGCCTCCTAGGGTCAAGTTATCCTTCCACCTCAGTCTTCCTAGCAGCTGGGACTACAGGTGCGTGCAATCACATCCAGTTACATTTTGTATTTTTTGTAGAGATGGGGTCTCATCATGTTGCCCAGGCTGGTTTCCAACTCCTGGGTTCAAGTGATCCTCCTGCCTCAGCATCCTAAAGTCCTGGGATTAGGCATGAGCCACCATGCCTGCCAGAACATTGTCCTTATTAAAGTTATATCTATACAGGAAAGATGTGGCAGGGGGATGCCGTGGGAGGGGAAGCTGGAGATAAAATTCAACTAAATCCTTTCGTAATAGAAAGTTAATAGTTAATGCCTAAAACAGTAATAGTGAGAAGTAGAAATACATACCTTTTATATAGATTTAAGTCAGTTACAACCACAAGAATCAATCAAGAGAGTTAAGAAGGGAAGTAGACAATGCTGGGGGTGAGCTGGGGGAGGCAAGGGACTGCTCTTTTTTACAAAAGTTTTGTGGAGGTATTTCTGTCCTTATATTATGTGTATGATTAATTCAATAAAAACAGAAAAGTATGTTTTAAATAGTTAATAGTTTTAAATAGTTACTTTTAATAGTAAAAGTATGTTTTAAAAGTACATTTTAAATAGTTTATATATAAATATTCATATATATATAAATATTCATATATATATAGAGAGAGAGAGAGAGAGAGAACTTATCTATCAATTAAAAAAACAACTTATTTAATTGAATACAAGGATGAGTCTAGGCAGGGCTGGGAGAGGGGCACCACCCACAGGAAGCACAAGTCCCTCCCCAACACCTCACCATATAATTTTTTAATGGATAGTGATGAGTATCAAACTGCTATGTTATTTAGATTCCTTCAGATATATGAAAAATGTACTATTTTATTTTAAAATGCCATATTAGTCAGGGTTCTCTAGAGGGACAGAACTAATAGGATAGATGTATATATAAAAGGAAGTTTATTAAGGAGTATTGACTCATATGATCACAAGGTACCACAATAGGCCATCTGCAAGCTGAAGAGCAAGGAAATCAGTCCAACTCCCGAAGCTGAAGAACTTGGAGTCCAATGTTCGAGAGAAGGAAGCATCCAGCACCACAGGAGAAAGATATAGGCTGGGAGGCTAAGCCAGTCTAGTCTTTCCATATACTTCTGCCTGCTTTATTCTGGCTGCTCCGACAGCTGATTAGATTGTGCCCACCCAGATTGAGGGTAGGTCTGCCTCTCCTAGTCCACTGACTCAAATATTAATCTCCTCTGGCACCACCCTTACAGACACAGCCAGGAACAACACTTTGCATCCTTCAAGCCAATCAAGTTAACACTCAATATTAACCATCACAAATTCCAATATTTAAAATGCACTAGAAATTATATCCTTTATTATAACATACAAAAATTATGTCTTATCTGGAAAAATTTTAGATATCAACTTAAACTGTTAAATTGGATTCATAATTTTTGAAATTATTTTAGGAAGTCTGAGACCAAGCATTTCATACCAAACACCTGTTAAAAGTAAACCCATCTGCGGCTCAGTTTAATAGGTGGACTCATACTCCCCTCTGGTGGTTAAGATGGTCAAAAACACATGAGATACAAATTTGGACCTGTGGCATTTTGGAAACACAGGAATTTCATTTCCTTTTGTTGCATTAAACAAATAGCAAGTTTTGCAAAATCTGGATATAGTAAAAGGATTTTGAAAACTAGGATTTGAGAACAAAATGGACCATAGAAAAACAACTTATCTGCTTTTAATAATTGTGATTTGGTGTGAACCAAGCAAGATTTTTGCTTTCCAGAGAGATCCAAACAATACAATGTCTGCATCATATTCAGAGACACGATGAAGACATTCAATTAACTGAATGCACCTACAGGTTCATTGTGTTCTCTGTGTAACTGTAGAGGTTTGCCTTTGTATAAGTGTCCCCATAACATCTTTTCTCCTTACCCATCACTGTCCCCAGGGTCTCCATGGTCTGACACTGTCAGTAACAAGAATGCACGTTACGGAGAAAGCATGGCTCAGTGGTATGAGTAGGGGATGATGAAATTTGAGAAAGACTATATATCTGAATTTTATCCCCGCCTATCACTAGCTGTGATCTTGGAAGAATTAACTTCTTTAGGCCAATTTCCACAACAATAAAATGGTTAAAATTCTAGCATGTGTGTTGCCTCTGCCACTGTGGTGTGCCCTCATGGACGCAGGCATCCCAGCACCCACTAGCACCCTGCTACAGCTGATGGAGCATACACCCCACAGCGCTGCTTCTGGCACATGCAAATGAGAATGAATCATGCTGCCACTGCACTATGAAATGCTTAGGCTGAGACCACCCATCAGAGTGCAGTGACCAGCAGTCTGGGAGCACCGTGGGCCCCCTCCCCCAGCACAGTGGATTTCTAACCTTGAGGAGCCAGAGAACAACATTGAGCCTCAATACAAGTCCCCCTCAGTTAAAGCATGCAGTCTAGGAGTTGAGAGCTGAGCATTACTCTCCTAAAATCTTCCAGAAATGAAGCCAATCAGCTGAATCCACCTTATATCACAATCAAACCCTCAAGATCATCGAATAGGATAAAAGGAAAAAAAAATCCAAAGGTTAGCAACTTAAAAGATTGAAGGAATATTCAACCACAAAGATGAGAAAGAACCATCGCAGGAATTCTGACAACTCAAAAGGCCAGAGTGCCTTCTTTCCTGTAAATGATCATACCACCTCTCCAGGAGGAGTTCTGAACCAGGCTGAGATGGCTAAAATGACAGAAATAGAATTCAGAATATGGATAAAAACAAAGATCATTGAGCTGCAGGAGTACATTGAAACCCAATCCAAGAAAGCTAAGAATCACAGTAAAACAATACAGGAGCTGACAAACAAAATAGCCAGTATATAAAAGAATATTACTAACCTGATAGAGTTAAAAAACACACTACAAGAATTTTATAATGCAATCACAAGTATTAATAGTAGAATAGACCAAGGAAGAATCTCAGAGCTTGAAGACTATCTTTCTGAAATAAGACAGGCAGACAAGAATAGAGAAAAAAGAATGAAAAGAAAATAACAAAACCTTTGAGAAATATGGGACTGTGTTAAGAGAACAAATCTATGAATGACAGGTATACCTGAAAGAGATGGGGAGAATGGAACCAATTTGAAAAACATACATCAGGACACTATCCATGAAAACTTTCCCAGCCCAGCCAGAAAGGCCAACATTCAAATTCAGGAAATGCAGAAAACTCCAGTAAGATAATTCACAAGAAGGTCGTCCCCAAGATACATAACCATCAGATTTTCCAAGGTTGAAATGAAAGAAAAAATGTTAAAGGCAGCTAGGAAGAAAGGTTAGGTCACCTACAAAGGGAACCCCATCATACTAACAGAGGACCTCTCAGTAGAAACTCTATAAGCCAGAAGAGATTGGAAGCCAATATTCAGCATTCTTAAAGAAAAGAAATTTCAACCCAAAATTTCATATTCAGCCAAAGTAAGTTTCATAAGCAGAGGAGAAATAAGATTGCTTTCAGACAAGCAAATGCTGAGGGAATTTGTTACCACCAGACCTGCCTTACAAGAGCTCCTGAAGGAAACACTAAATATGGAAAGAAAAGATCATTATCAGCTACTACAAAAACACACATAGTGTGTTATAGGCCACTGACACTATAAAACAACCACATAAACAAGTCTACAAAATAACCAGCTAACATCATGATGATGGGATCAAATCCACACATATCAATACTAAACCTGAATGTAAATGAGCTAAATGCCCCAATGAAAAGGCACAGAGTGCAATCTGGATTAAAAAAAAAAACAAAAACCATTGGTATGCTGTCTTCAAGGACTCATCTCGCATGCAATGACACCTATAGGCTCAAAATAAAGCAATGGAGAAAAATCTACCAAAAAAATGAAAAACAGAAGCAAGTAGGAGTTGCAATCCTAATTGCTGACAAAACAGACTTTAAACCAACAAAGATCAAAAAAGACAAAGAAGGGCATTACATAATGGTAAGTGATGAATTCAACAAGAAGACCTGTCTATCCTAAATATATATACACCCAACATAGGAACACCCAGATTCATAAAGCAAGTTTTTAGAGATCTCCAAAGAGATTTAGACTCTCAAACGATAACAGTGGGAGACTTTAACATCCTACTGACAATGTTAGTCAGATCATTGAGGCAGAAAATTAGCAAAGATATTCAGGACCTGAACTCAGCACTGGATCAAATGGACCTGATAGATACCTACAGAGCTCTCCACCCAAAAGCAACAAAATATACATTCGTCTCACCACCACATGGAACATACTCTAAAACTGATTATATAATCAAATACAAAACTTTGCTCAGCAAATGCAAAAGAATTGATATTACAACAACCACTCTCTCAGACCACAGCACAATCAAATTAGACGTCAAGACTAAGAAATTCACTCAAAACCATATAACTACATGGAAATTAAATAACCTGCTCCTAAATGACTTTTGGGTAAATAATGAAACTAAGGCAGAACTCAAGAAGTGATTTGAAATGAATGAAAACAAAGACACAATGTACCAGAATCCCTGGGACACAGCTAAGGCAGTGTTAAGATGGAAATGTATAGCACTAAGTGCCCACATCAAAAATTAGGAAGATCTCAATTTAACAACCTAACATCCCAACTAAAAGAAATAGAGAACCAAGAGCAAACAAATCCCAATGCTAACAGAATATAAGAAATAACAAAATCAGAGCTGAACTAAAGGAAATAGAGACACCAAAAACCATTCAACAGACCAACAAATCCAGGAGCTGGTCTTCTGAAAAAAATAATAAAATATACCACTAGCTAGACTAATAAAGAAGAAATGAGAGAAAATTCAAATAAACACAATCAGAATGATAAAGGGATATTACCACTGGACCCCACAGAAATACAAATAACCATCAGAGAATATTATGAACACCTCTATGCACATAAACTAGAAAATCTGGAAGAAATTGATAAATTCCTGGACATATACACCCTCCCAAGACTGAATCAGGAAGAACTTGAATCCCTGAACAGAAAACCAAATACTGCATGTTCTAATTTGTAAGTGGAGGCTAAATGATGAGGACACATGGACATATAGAGGAGAACAACAGAAACTGGGGCCTAGCAGAGGGTGGAGGGTGGGAGGAGGGAGAGGATCAGGAAAAATAACTAATGGGTACTAAGCTTAATACCTGGGTGATGAAATAATCTGTACAACAAACCCCCATGACACAAGTTTACCTATGTAAGAAACCTGCACATGTACCCCTGAACTTAAAATAAATGTTTTTTAAAAATAAAATAAACTAATAAGTAATTTAAAAATTCTAGCCTTGGCCAGGCATGGTGGCTCATGCCTCTAATCCCAGCACTTTGAGAGGCCGAGGTGGGTGAATCACGAGGTCAGGAGATTGAGACCATCCTGGCTAACACAGTGAAACCCCATCTCTACTAATAATACAAAAAATTAGCTGTAGTCCCAGCTACTTGGGAGGCTGAGGCAGGAGTATGGCGTGAACCCAGGAGGCAGAGCTTCCAGTGAGCCGAGATTGCGCCCCTGCACTCCAGCCTGGGTGACAGAACGAGACTCCATCTCAAAAAAAAAAAAAAAAAAAAAAAATTCTAGCCTTACAGTTGCCTTGTAAAATTAAAAAAGCACATAAGTAAGATGCTCAATAATAGCAACCAATTGTCGTTATTGCTACTTTATATGTTTGAAAGATAAGTAGCTCTGTCCATTTAGAGGATACAGAATATAATCTTAAGGAGTCTCTTTTAGTAGCTTAGTCATTTCTACTTATTTGGTCACGATAGTGCCATCTTCCTAAGGGTTTTCTTTCCCATTTTCTGACATAAATATTTCCATTGAACTTCCTCCCTTCTCCTTTTCTCAGGTAATGAGCTGGGTTGGTATTGGGAAAAAATATCCAGCCCCTAAAACAACCAGACTTTGAGCAATCATACCCATATGATTGCTCCTCCCTGACTGCTCTGACACTTGACCCCTGTAACTTTTATCAAAGGCTTCATCCTTGCAATTATCTGCTCTTCTGTGTGTTCCTTAAATAACTAAAATCAGAACTATCTACTGTCATTTTTCCCTCTCTACTGGATCATTTTCATCCCCCGAAAATATCCTCAAGTATCTGCTTCTCTTGAAAACAATCCCCACCCCCACCTCATTCCTCGAAATCCTTCTTAACTTCACATGATCTTGAAGCTAATGACCTATTTCTCTGTTTCTCCTCACCATTAAACTTCTTGGGGCGGGGTCCAGTGGCTCACACCTGTAATCTCAATACTTTGGAAGGCTGAGGTGGGAAGACCGCTTGAGGCCAGGGGTTCCAGATCAGCCTGGGCAACATAGTAAGACTCCTGTCTCTATTGAAAATAAATGTGTTTTTAAATTTATTGAAAATGTTGTCTAAATTAAATTTCTTGGAAGAGTTGCCTATAGTATCACTTTCTATTTCCTCACCTCACATGCTTCCCTCAGTAGTATTCATTTGGAATAATTTTCTTCCACTCAGCTGAGACTTCTCTTGTCAAGATCAGAAATTAATTCTGTGATACTACATTCATTGAAACCTTCCCTGCTCTTATTTTAACTAACTCCTTAGCAGCTTTTGACAGTTGACCACTTAAATTTTTTTTAAATGTGGTATGTGAAAATGATATACTGGTGATACCTTGATGACTTGGTAGTAAATAATACAAATTCACTCAAAATAAATTAAATAGAAAAGGATTCACTGGAAAAATGAAAAATGATTAGGGGCCGGACATGGTAGTTCAGGCCTGTAATCCTGAGACTGAGATGCAAGGATCACTTTAGGCCAAAAGGTCAAGACCAGCCTGGGCAAGACAGTGAGACCTCCATCTCCACACACACAAAAAGTTTTTAATTAAAAGATTAGCAGCCGGGCATGGTGGCTCACGCCTGTAATCCCAGCACTTTGGGAGGCCGAGGCGGGCGGATCAAGAGGTCAGGAGATCCAGACCATCCTGGCTAACACGGTGAAACCCCGTCTCTGCTAAAACTACAAAAGAAAATTAGCTGGGCATAGTGGCGGGCGCCTGTACTACCAGCTACTCAGGAGGCTGAGGCAGGAGAATGGCGTGAACCCAGGAGGCGGAGCTTGTAGTGAGCAGAGATTGCGCCACTGCACTCCAGCCTGGGTGACAGAGCAAGACTCCGTCTCAAAAAGAAAAGACTAGCATATTTTAAATTAATACTATTTATTATAATATAGTGCATTATAAATACAAATAAATACAAATTAATATTGGTAACATAGTTAAAATTTAAACCACTTCCTTAAATAATTTGACTATTCATATTGACATTTTATAGCTTCAGTGGCTAGAACTAAAATAGAAAAGGGACTGGTTGAGGTGGCTCATGCTTGTTATCTCTGCACTTCGGGAGGCTAAGGTCAGAGGATCACTTGAGCCCAGGAGTTTGAGACCAGCCTGGGAAACATAGCAGGACACTATCTCTACAAAAATAAAAGTTAAAAAATATAAAGTTTTAAAAATAGGCAAGGGCTAAAGGCTGCAACAAAGAAACAAAATTATAAAAAGATTAGTGAAAACAAGATGTTCACTACTGTTGCAGTTTTATGTAAGGGGTTTCCTGCAGAATTTATCACATACTTCAACTCAGATAGCAACTATAGCTCCCATCTGAAGCAGCTATTCCGCATTCTTTTCAGGACCGTGAACCATCAATATGACTACACATTTGATTGGACAATGTAAAAGCAGAAAGTAGCACAGCAAGCAGCCTCTTCCAGTGGGCAGGGTCAGCAGGCCCAAACTCCCACAGGCAAGCAAACTGATAAAAGCAAGAGTAACATGAAAGGTTTCTAAGCATGAATTGAGGAACAGAAGAAGCAGAGCAGACGATCAGAGCAGCATTGGTTTCTCTCCAAATCTAGAATTTTTAGTTCATATGTACACTAGCCAGTGGTTATGGACAGTGTTGATGTAAAGAACTTAATTTCAGTATAAACGGACTCTGAGCAGCATTGGTGATGTTGTATCCTGAGTTGTAGCCACTGTAACTGTGACTATTAACTGAGAGAGTGAAACATGGTGTCTGGTTTTCTACTGCATTTTTTCAAGTGGAAAAGTTAACTAAATGGTTGACACACACAAATTGGGGGAATTTAAAAAATTAAAAAGTAGAAAAGGCACTCTGGAATCCTCTGCATTCTGGAAGTGAGAGAAGAGGTGACACTTTCAAAAAGACAGACTATATAGAAGAAAACTTCACTGGAATGGAGCAAAGAGGTGAAAGACCCAAGGCAAAGACTAGGAGGGAGTCTGACCTCACTTTCTGACAGCAGCTAGCCACTAGTAAACTCTGACTCTTGCCGTTTTCTTTCTGGACCAGTATAGGGCAATCTTGAATATCACAGTAGTATAAAATATTTATTCACCCTAATACTAAATTACTAAAGTATAGGTGAAATGCAGTGTCTTATTTTTGTTTGTATGTGTGTGTCTTGTTTTCACAATTTGCAGTCAGAGCAAAACCATAATTAACTGGAATTCTACTGATCAGAAAATAGGTTATACAGAAACTGAGGTGAGGGAAAATGCTTTGAAGAAGGAAAATGGATTGCTAAAAAATTAAGCAGAGTTTGAGGTACAGAAGACAACCAGTTGAAAATGTCCAATGGGCCTCTGAAAACAGCACTCTAGAGTTTGGGAGAGGTCACCATTGGCAATGATATAGAAAGCATCTACTGAAACATTATAATTAAAGCCACGAAAGTAGATGGCATTGCCAAGGAAGAATGTGTAAAAAGAACAAAAGAGAGTGTATTAGTCCTTTTTCATACTGCTATGAAGAAATACCTGAGACTGAGTAATTTATAGAGAAAAAGAGGTTTAATGGACTCACAGTTCCACATAGCTGGGGAGGCTTCACTATCATGGTGGAAGGTGAAGGAGAAGGAAAGGCATGTCTTACATGGCAGCAGGCAAGAGAGGGTATGCAGGGGATCTGCCCATTATAAAACCACCAAATCTCAAGAGATTTATTCACTATCATGAGAACAGCATAGAAAAAACCCACCCCTATGATTCAATTACCTCCCACCAAGTCCCTCCCAGGACACATGGGGATTATGGAAGCTACAATTCAAGATGAGATTTAGGTAGGGACACAGGCAAACCATATCAGAGAGCTTGGTACATTTTTAAGGATTTCAAACAGACAGAAAAAAAGAGGTCTGATTTAAGGGACGGAAATCATCCACTACTATGTAGCAGCACTACTTGGCCTCTCAGGAGCATATTTCCCTTTCATTCATTTTTCTCTTTTATTCTTGCTGTCTCAATCCCAATTTATTCTATTTTGCCCACTTCACTCTGGGAAGGGTGAGCTACTCCCAGCTCCAGGGGTAAATCCTAATTTACCTAAGCTGATCATTGTGCTCCATTCATCTTGTCATAGATTGGCATATATATCTCTATATATAATATATGTGTGTATATATTTGTATATGTTATATATAATTGCGTATATGTTTATACACACACACACACACACACACACACACACACAGTAGTTCTGGCCCATGCATTGTGAGGGAAAACCTGCTGTAGAGACTTCTGGGAAAGAGTTTCGCTGCTGAGAAATGAAGTTCCCCTTCTTCTAGCCTTTGTTCCTCTTGGAACTGCAGCAGCCATCCTGTATTGAAGAAAACTATCTCAGGATGGCAGAGTAGAAAATGGAAAGGACCTGGGTCCTCAATCACATCATTAAATTGTTGATGAGTTATCCTTGAGACAAAATAGTTCAGGACTATGGAAGATAACTTCTCCTCAGTGTTTAAATCAGTCTAGTAAGGATTTTCTGCAGCCCAAAGTACACATTAATATGTAAAATGCAGCCAGAGTTAAGAAGAGTCAGATCAACCTTATCAAATGTTCCTGATAGTTGAAGAAGAAGAAGAAGAGTCATTCTTGGTTTAGGTCCAAATACAAAGTGAAAAACTCAAAATCCTTAATTTTATTTTAATACATATGTGCTATATATAACACATATAGCTTAGAAGGAAATTTTAGTCATACTTCTTCAAATAAATGAAGAAATATATCAGAAAAGAACTATTAGGAGGCAGATGATTATGATGACTAGATAGATAGATAGATAGATAGATAGATAGATAGATAGATAGATAGATAGAGGGACTTGGTACAGGGATTTGACCTTATCAACTTTGGGAGCTGGTTAAGCAGTCTCTGTAAGGCTGTAGACTTTGCACCTGATGCTGAAACTCTTCAGTCCATACAGTAGACAGTTGGGAAAGAAGATGGGTGTAAAGTGAGGAAGACCAAGGACAGTCTCAAATTCATAAGCACAATTGGAGCCCATGAGAACACACTGACCAATATGTCATTTCTTTTTGCTTCTCGCCTTAAGGAAATACAAGCCCTGCAGAAGCAAGGGCCTTTCATCAAGGTGTTAAACACACACACCTGGCCCAGGAGTCGGAGACACTGACTTCAGGGGAGGGTAGAACAGGTGCAGGCCTGGTCACTGACTCATGCCAGGAGGTGATCCAACAGACAAACAACGAGCTGTCTAGGCCATAAAATGGCTGCTTCTTCACTTTTACCCTCTGAATCTCGCACAAAAATGTCCCGCCCACTCTAACTGGCAACACACAGGACAGTAAATTCTGGGAAGTGTAATGTAGACTAGCCAAGTTGACACATTAAAAAGTCACCAAAGCTTGCCAGTTTCTTGTGAAATAAATGGAGTCTATTGTTATCGTGGTGTTTCTTTTTCTTAATCAAATAGGACAGTCTTTGGAAAGAACATTTACATATTTACATGCATCCTTACCAAAGCCTTTTAGTGGCATCTGTTTTGCAAAATATTTGCATCTGCTCAGTCATCTTACTATTTTAATTAGATATTATAAGTAAGAGAGTACTTACCGCCTCTGAACTGTATCCTGAACTTTCTCAAATATGCAGATAGTGAGAGATGTCCATTCTGAAAACAGTTGCTTTACAGACATATGCCACTTGTTATGATAGCAGAACACTTTTGCCAAAGTACCATATCCTAGTCTCAATTTTGCCAAATTTATCAAGAATAAATATTATCTCTACCCTAGAAGACCAATAATGAAGGTTACACATGATCAAGGTAATGTGAACAAGAATTGTCTAATATCTGAAAAATCTATTTTGACAAACATGTTTTCCTGTGTTATAGTTGAATGAAAGATTCAGCAGTGAATAAATCATAGACATCAGAACTATATACACAGGCCAAAGTTAAGAAATAAGCATATATGTTAGATGAGATTGGTGAAGTCAATAATTAACCTGTATCCACTTAGGTCAATTTACCTCTTTGTGTCTCTATTTTCTTATTTACAAAGTGAGATAAATAAAGCAAATTCTAAGATTAACTTCCAACTTGATTCTATATATATTTGTAAATGTATTCATGTATTTAATTCCAGTATTATTTAATACTTTAGGAGTATGGAATAAAACAATTTAAAACATAAAAATACTTATACATAAAATATTTATACATTTGCACAAGTATATTGCAAATATATCATTATAACAGAGGCATTAACTACTTTATAATTATTTGCATTAACCAAAAAATATAAATCCAACCAGAAAAATTTTGCATCAAATGTATCACAGAATATTTTTCTGTTTTTGTTATTGTTGTTGGTTGTTTTGAGACAGAGTCACATTTTGTTGCCCAGGCTAGAGTGCAGTGGCGTGATCTCGGTACAAGTGATTCCCCTGTCTCAGCCTCCCAAGTAGCTGGGATTACAGGCACCCACCACAACACCTGGCTAATTTTTTTGTATTTTTAGTAGAGATGAGGTTTCACCATGTTGGCCAGGCTGGCCTCAAACTCCTGACCTCAGGTGATTCACCTGCCTCTGCCTCCCAAAATACTGGGATTACAGATGTGAGCCACTGTACCCTGCCCTGTGCATATTTTTTAATTTGTACAAGTTAATTTTAAAATCTGAAGGCCAAAATATGCAAGGAACAAACAAGACAATGTATTTGTCTAAAGGTACCTAAATACAATATCAGCTTTGGGAAACAAGAAAAAGTTAATGACAGATAATTGGTTGGAAGGAAATATTTACAATATTTTGAACCAATAAGGAACTAATTTTTAGTATTCCAAAGGAACAATAATTAACAAGTAAAAGGAAAATCAATACAAAAATTGATAAATGATATGAGCAGGCAATCCATAGACGAAAATAACTCAAAGGAGTATAAAATATATGAAGAGATGTCAAACTCATTGTTAATCGAGAGAAATACAAGTGAAAACAAAAGGGAGAATTTTTAAAATAAAGCAAGATGATGCTACTTTATACCTATAAGATTGGGGGGAAAAAAGAAAGTCTGATAATGTCAATCATTGACATAAATAAGGGGCTACAGAGTCTGGGACTACAGAGTCTCGGACTACAAATGGGAGTGTAGACTGGTGCAGCCCCTCTGGAGAGCAATTTGGTAACAGTTTGTCAAATGGAATAATAAAGTAAAATAGACCCTGTGACTGAGTAATCCCATTCCTGGGTACATATGTGAGAGTTTTCTTACACAGGCTCAGCCTATGAGAGGACATATGCAAGGATATTAATCTCAGGGTTGTTTGTAATAATGGAAAGTTAGCTAAACTAGAAAGCTGAATGGAGAACTATACAGTCAAAACAAAAGAATAGGGAGATTTATGAAACCAAGGTAAACATTAAAAACCAAAACACCACTGTTAAAAATTATAAAGAAATTAGAAACAGCATGGGGCAAAACAACCACAGCTGAAAATCAAATCAGTGGCCTAGAGAGAAAGACATAAGACAATCACTACAGATGCAAAATAAGAAAAACAGATTGAGGCCAGGTGTAGTGGCTCACACCTGTAATCCCAGCACTTTGGGAGGCCGAGGTGGGCAGATCACCTGAGGTTGGGAGTTCAAGACCAGCCTGGCCATCATAGTGAAACCCCGTCTCTACTAAAAATACAAAAATTAGCCAGGCGTAGTGGTGCATGCCTGTAATCTCAGCTACTCGGGAGGCTGAGGCAGGAGAATCGCTTGAATCCGGGAGGCAGAGGTTGCAGTGAGCAGAGATCACGCCGCTGCACACCAGCCTGGGTGACAGAGCCAGACTCCCTCTCAAAAAAAATAAAAAATAAAAAAAATAGATTGAAGAAATTGTATAGAAGATTGTAGAAAAGGAGGACAATGAAACAGAAAATGTATTCATAGATATTATTTTCTTAAAATAACTTGCATAAATGTTAGAAATAATGAAATCTGCAGTAGAAAAAGTATACAGATTATCAACATAAACATAAACACATATTCTGGTTAAGTTACTGAATTTAAGAACAAAAATTTCTTCATGTTTCCTTACAAAACAACTAACTACATGAGGGAAAAGATAGGCTGTTAACAGAAGAGGACGTAGCAATAGCTACACAAGGCTGAGGGAAAGAAAGTTCGACCTCTGGACATGATATTCAGTCAAGTGAATACACAGGTGAAAGGCAGGTATCCTAAGACCTCACTGAACTGGGAGAACACTGAAGTCTGCAAAATCTATTGGATGACAGAATGGACTCAACCTAGAGATTAAAGTAGAAATCTTGGGTGGCGGCTTGGAGCCCAGGCCCGACAGCGGCCCCCGCGCTGTGCAGGCGTTCGCTTAGACGGGAGCACTGCAGACGCCCCCGGCGGCAGCGACCGGGCGAGAGCGGGGCGGGAGCCGGGCCCGGCGCCCCCGGAGCCAGCGGCGCGCGGCTGACAAGGCTGGACCCTCGCGCGCCTGGAGACCGTACCAAAGCAGCAGGGCTTCGAGTTCTGGAGCTGCACCCTTCATGAGCTGAAGAGGCCAGGCTCCTCCCCCTGCATAAGGTGCAAATCCCCAGTGGCTCCACCCCGCACAAGCGGGCCCCCCAGTCTGTTGTGGGCATGCCCAGACAGGTTCCCTTAACCGCCTTCTGCATCTATCATTTCCCCCCTCTAAAGAAGTACATCCAACTGCCATTAGAATAAGGATAAGGACAAAGAACGATCTGAACTGCTTCCTGCCGACAGAGGGCACTGTTTTAGGAAGACGGCAATCATATCTCCCTCGGAGGCCTATCTAAGTAAGGGTCCTCGGTAAAAGGGGGCTACCATTTAAGGTTCCGATTACATGATCGTTTGGAGTTCAGTGGCCTAAGGTAAGAAGAAACAAACTGGCTTATTAGAAAACATGTAGCAAAACGAAACAAAAAGGGGTGAGGACAGCTCAAAAATCCCCAGACTTCCAACACGCGCAGATAACTAGTGGCTACAGTTATGCCTGCTAAGATTTGGGTGCATGGGGCTTGGATTTGGTGAGCTCCCTTGGGCTCATTTTCCCAAAAAGAAACCTCCAGGTTATGAGCACCTATTTACTCCCATCACCTGGTAGGATTTGCAGGATAATTACTCAGAATTAAAATATTGATCTAGATTTTTACATTAGCCATCCCTTTTGTTCCTTCTGAGCTGCAGCCGGAGATTGCTGGTTGGTTCACAGGAACAAGTAGGGTTAGTCTAAAATGTAGGCAAAAACTTAAAAACAACTAATGAGTTTAGAATTTAATGACAAATGTATGATAAATTTCAAAACATAATTTCTCTCTCTCCAATCAATTTGTTAAAAATAAATCATGATAAACCTGAGCTGTTTGCAAAATAGACTTTAGTCTTAATACTTGGCTTGATTACTTGCATAAAGTGCAGCAAGAATAATTGTTTTTACATAGGCCTTTTTTTTTTTTTTTTTTTTTTTTTTTTGAGACAGAGTTTCGCTCTTGTCGCCCAGGCTGGAATGCAGTGGCACGATCTCGGCTCACTGCAACCTCTGCCTCCCGGGTTCAAGCGATTCCTCTGCCTCAGCTGACATAGGCTTTGATGGAATTCTATTCCACAAGGAATCTCAGATAGGACTTTTGAAAGCCAAGCCCAGCTATGGGTTTGTACCCTCAAATACCTATGAGTTGGGTAAACTCCACTCTTCTTGAGGTCCCAAGAACATGGGGTTCCGGGACCTGTTAAAAAGTGACATTCTTTACTCACCATAGATTAGGAACCCTGTACAGGGACTGTGTAGACAAGGTATGAGGCAGTTTTCCCAAGGGGCTTTTATCGGCTCTACAAGTCAAGCTTGATTCCTTAAAGGGAAGCATACCCTTCCAGTCAAAGCCTTGGCAAAACAACCAGTTTCTCCCATTGCATCCTGTTGCAAAAGGAAATGGATTGTTATTGCACTGATGCAAACAACTATACTGCCTTAAGTCAAGAACACTCATGACAAGTTTCCAAATCCTGAAGAAGCCAGTCAGAGAAAAAAACAAATATGCTCCAAATTTTGTTCACAGGAGTATACCTTACTCAATTATTAAAGCCCATAAATAGCTCAAAATACATATCCTTGACTCTGAAAAACAAAACAAGGATCAGCAATGTTCCAAGCAAAAGCCAAAAAATATTACTTCAGTTTTCTGTTAGGTCAGTCCATTCAGTTTATTCTTGCTTTGCTTGACATTCATGAACACTTCAGTTCTTCATGAGTCCTGTACTTTTTTTAATTCCATTGTCACAATCCCCGAAGTTATCAGAAACCTGCATTTGAGAGCACCTGTCAAGATTCTATAGCTGATTATAAACCATGTTTTGAAGAGGATCAAAACAAGACAACAATTGTCTGCGAATAACAAAATGTCCAGGGTAGTTACTCTCAAAACACAATTGACAAAGAAATCTGGTTATCTCTGTGGTTTATAATAATTTAACATAATAACCTTAATTGTGATCAATAGCATATACTCAGTCATTAGAATTTTAGAAATCTCAGACAATTCTGAAACAAATATTAATATTATTTCCTAAAGTACAATCCAAAGAAGATTAAACATCATATTGGCAATCACACATACCTAAACATGTCAAATAATCCTGCTTACCTCTCTTTTGGATGCTCCAGGGGTCCTCTGTACCATCCAAGAGCTAGGGGTCAGGAAAGACAATCTTGAGGCTGAAATTTGATTTTGGGAAGCCTGTTAATGCTATGAAATAGAATTCTGTATTACCATAAGTTATTTATTTTGCCAAAATGATGACTCAAAAAATTTAAAACAAAGCAAAAACCTTTACTCATTAAGAGGGAAAACTTAGCTTTCCAAACAGTTTGTCTCCTGCTTTCTCTTTATTTTCTTTGGAAGCCTATCCACAAGGCAAACAGAAATCTTTCATTATCCTTTACTATTACACAAAAATCTTGTACATGGGAGAGAGAGCCAAATTTTGCCCTTACATTAGTTTACTATTGATGTCAACCCCAATTTTCTAATGAAAACTTACAGACAATTCTATCTGATCTTAACCAGTTTGACCATTAGGTAAGATTCTTATAACCTTTCATAACCCTTTACAATTTTTGCTAAAGAGCAGATTACTGCCTTAAGGGAAACTTGTTGTGCTTTCATTTCAATGCTGAATTTAGAGAAAAACAATATAATACACTATTGAATTTAGTCAATGTTTACACACAGAATTTCTTTTGCAAGATTAATTTTTACAATCCTTCCATAACGTTCTTAAATCTTTAGCTTTATTTTATCTAATTTAAAACAATCCTTTTACCATAGGCAAAAATTTAGATTTCCATGCCTTCTTATATTTTACTAAGATTATATGATTAATGATTATTTACTAAGATTAAGGCCTATGTCCCCAGGCCTTACCATGTTGTAAAGTAGGCAAGTTCTCAAAGGCCAAAGAAACAGTGTACAACTTTAAAACATTTAGCAAATCTACTATCTGACCCACAGAATTTAGACCACCTATTTCCATTTTAGCTACATTTGCATTTTACCAATAATCTTTAAGACTTTTTTTTTTTTGAGACAGAGTCTCGCTCTGCCACCCAGGTTGGAGTGCAGTGGTGTGATCTTGGCTCACTGCAAGCTCCGCCTCCCAGGTTCACGCCATTCTCCTGCCTCAGCCTCCAGAGTAGCTGGGACTACAGGTGCCTGCCACCACTCCTGGCTAATTTTTTGTATTTTTAGTAGAGACAGGGTTTCACCGTGTTAGCCAGGATGGTCTCAATCTCCTAACCTTGTGATCTGCTCGCCTCGGCCTCCCAAAGTGCTGGGATTACAGGCGTGAGCCACCATGCCCAGCCAAGACTGTTTTTATTACTCAAAGATTAATGTCACATGAACTAAAAGGCATTATAGCTTTTATTTTTCCTTCAAAAATATTTGATCTAAGCACTTATTTTCCTTTAGGCCAATTAATTAGAGCTCTCTTTTTTATAGACATCACACACAACACATACATAACCACACAGACAAACAGAAGCAGATTCAGTAGTTATAAGATTTTCTGTTTACCAGCCAGGCGCAGTGGCTGTCATCCTAGCACTTTGGGAGGCTGATGGGGGTGAATCACCTGAGGTCAGGAGTTTGAGACCAGCCTGACCAATATGGTGAAACCCATCTCTACTAAAAATACAAAAATTAGCCGGACGTGGTGGCTTGCACCTGTAGTCCCAGCTACTCAGGAGGCTGAGACAGGAGAATAGCTTGAACCTGGGAGGCAGAGGTTGCAGTGAGCCAAGATCGTGCCATTGCACTCCAGCCTGGGTGACAGAGCGCAACTCCGTCTCAAAAAAAAAAAAAAAGATTTTCTGTTCACCAATCTCCTTATTGGACTATTGGCCTCTAAGTGGGGCCCTTTAAGAGCAAGGCTAGGAAAGCATGCACTTCCTAGGGCCTAATAAACAGGTATAGCTGGAAGACAAAAGCAGATTTTGAAAGGAATCCATCTGCCTCTAATTCCTGGAGCTCCATGAGGAAAACAGAGGTCTCTCTAAAAATGGAATTAGTGGCACCTTTTCTGTTTTCACCAGGCCATCAGAAATTATCTTAGGGCCTCTCATGTGTGCATTAAGGGTGGCAAGAAAAAATGGAGAAAAAGAATTCAGTCAACTGAGAAAACAACCTTTTTCCAGCAAAATAAGATCCAAGAGGAGAAAAACATAAAGGCCTTTTAAATATACCTATAACTTGGATATCCACTTTTAATTAAGCTGAGTGCTCTTTAAGAAAATCCTTTTAAATCCCTTATTACCTGATTTTACCCATGCCAAGCAGCCAATATTTCTGGCTTTTGAATTTTACCAAAGGTAACCTCCCAGGTGCTCAGAGAAAGGAAAATTGAAGGTGGTTCATGAAGGGGGAGAGAATCAACAATCAAACCAGAAAGAGAATCAAGAATCAAACCAGAAAGGACCCATTACCTAAGCCAGGATTGAACCCAGGCCACCATTGTAAAATGGCAGAGGCTAAAAGAAAGCACTGCCACGTGGTTACAGGTCACGCTTTCAAGGAAGTAAAACAAGATGGAGACCCGCAGCAAAGTTTGCCACTGACCAGTTTGCTAGGCTGGGTTGAACAGTGGGCCTATGGAGTCCCAGGCCCACATCGCATCCTAAGGTACCCCTCTTTCTGACAGAATCATACAGAGAGACATGCAAGGCATACCAGATTGGCTACAGCTTAAGGCCAACTTCACAAATACTTTTTCATAATTAAAACTTTAAAGAGAATATAAACAGTGATCCTAAACATTCTCTTTACTGGTTTGCACAGGGACAGGGAGGCCAAAAGCCCAACTGGTTTAAAAAAACTCTTATCCTTTTTCCAGCACGTCAGGCTTCTGGCTTCCCTCCCCTCAAGCTCAATCCCAAGCCAACCAGTTTAAGGCTTGGGAAATTAACTTTTCCCAGTTTGGAGGATACATCTGAGGGGAGTGCCCTGCAGCATGGGGACACAACCACCCATCTGTGAAGAAAGGACAGAGGAGGAAAAAGGCAGCATTTTTTCAAAAGAGCCCCAGGACTCAGGATGCATTTGAAAGAGATGCAGACTGAAAATGAATGGCTACGCATCTAGAAAGAGGGGAGAGAGGCATCCCTGATTCCCTTCTCTTCCTAGTGAATACCTGGGGTACATGAGGTAGAGAAAGTGAGGCATCCCTCTTTCTTTATTTATATCCCTGAGTCCCGGTGACCACAACACCGGGTGGTCACCAGCACACGGGTGCTGCCCATGAGTGTCAAAGCAGCTTTCACCCATGTTAACAGTGGGGCCTAGGGGATAGGATTATCCTCTCTTACCCATGTATGTCCTATGTCCCCTGCTGTCAGTAGCTTTTGAGTTCCCTAGATCTCATTTATGCCATGGATACTAGCATGACCTTTATCCATGAAATGAGAAGCTTGGCTTAATCAGCAGCAATTAGTCATGCTCACCTGCGCTGTGCCTTTTAACTTCCGTCATCGTCTGCCTCTGAATCCCTCAGATACAGTTTTCTTTCCCTGGGCTTCAACTCGAAGCTTGGAATTGAGTTTGGGACAAAAGACCTGCCTCAGGGGGTTGCATGGACTCCTTATCATAAGCTGAATGCTAAGGTGAAGCTGTGGAATTGAGTACTCCTCCAACAAGGAAAAGGAATTGGGGTCCTGACCTGGTGAAACATCTTCTAAAAGGAAAAAAAAAAAACTTACATAAAAGTTAACTCTGACGGGGTGGAGAAAAGAAAAAAAAACAACAACAGCTTAAATGCAGGGCTGGAAAGATGCCTGAAGGAAGAACCTCTTATTCTTATGCAAATGGGTTTCTCCAACAGGGAGAGAATTGTTTTTTTTGAGACAGTTTCACTCTTGTTGCCCAGGCTGGAGTGCAATGGCGCAATCTTGGCTCACTGCAACCTCTGCCTCCCAGGTTCAAGCAATTCTCCTGCCTCAGACTCCCAGGTGGCTGGGATTACAGGCGCCTGCCCACCATGCACAGCTAATTTTTTGTATTTTTAGTAGAGATGGGGTTTCACCAGGTTGACCAAGCTGGTCTTGAACTCCTGACCTCAGGTGATCCACCTGCCTCAGCCTCCCAAAATGCTGGGATTACAGGTGTGAGCCACCACACCAAGCCAAGAGAAACTTTTAATTGCTGTTTCTTCCCTGGGTCTTGGACCAAGCTGGAGCCCTCGGTTGGGGGAAGGGAAGACTCTGTGGGTACTTAGCGGGAAATGCTGTCCAGATGGCCACACAAGGCCCGGGCCCCCAAGGCCACCTTGGGCTGGGCGGTGGTGGTGGCTCATCCCTGCCCTGCATGGCCACTGGACATGGCATGCACATGCGGTGGACTCAGCCATGCACCTCAGCCAGGAGGGAAGGGGAGCAGGGAGCCGCTGTTCACCCATTTGTCCCACATGTGCACCTGCGGCCATTGGGGTGGGAGTGGAACACCCCCAATATTGTAAAAGAAAAGATAGGTGACATTACAGTCCCGAATAAAAAGAAGCAAAATGCCATAGAAAAGGCTGGGTTGGACCGAGACCAACATTCCTGACCCCCAAGAGCGACAAGGGGTCGGGGGTCGGGGTGGAGAGTTTCCTCTACCCTCAGAAGAAGTCCAACAAGGCTCAGAAATGAAAGGGAGAGAAATTTTTTTGTCCACATTTTACTCACCATGTCTCATAGTTCCAAACAGGCCACCAAAATGATACAGAATTTTTGCTCCTTAGTTCAGCTAAAATCTGGGTTCTTATCTCACAACCAGGAAAAATTAGGCACACAGGCACACTGAAGGGTGAGGAGTAGGCAAAAAGAAAGCTCTCAGCAAAGAAAGAGGTGGTCCTGCCAACAGGCCTCCACGTCACAGACTGAATACCAGGCCACCATACACAAGCTGAAGAGGCAGACTCCATCCCCGGCATAAGGTGTGAATCCCTGGTGTCTCCACCCCATTCTCCCAGTGCATGCATGCGGGCCCCCAGTCTGTTGCAGGCATGCCCAGACAAGGCCCTGTGCACCCTTATATGCCTCCTGCATCTATCAGTATTGTACTTTTTATAGGACACCAAAGGCACAATCCATGAAATAAATAATAAACTGGACTGGACTTCATTAAAATTAGTTTAGGTTTTTTTGTTTTTTTTTTTTACTCTGTATAAGACATTGTCGAGAGAATGAGAAGACAAGACACGGACTGGGAGAAAATATTTGCTGAAGATATATGTGATAAAAGACTGTTATTCAAAATATGTAAAGAATGCTTAAAACTCAACAGTAAGAAAACATACCCAATTTTCTAAAAAGGGGGGATTAAAGACCTGAACAAACACCTCACCAAAGAAGATGTACACATGGCAAATAAGCATATGAAAAGATGTTCCATATTATATGTCATCAAGGAAATGCATATTAAAACAAGATAACACTAAACACCCATTAGAATGTCTATAGTCCAGCACACTGACAACACAAAATGCTGGCAAAGATGTGGAACAAACTCATTTACTGCTGGTTGGAATGCAAAATAGTATAGCCACTTGGAAGACAGTTTGAGAGGTTCTTCTGTAAGTAAACATACTCTTAGCATGTAATCCAGTAATTGCCCTCCTTGGTATTTACCCAAACGAGTTGAAAATGTATGTCTGCACAAAAACATGCACATGGATGCTTTATTCATAATGGCCAAAACTTGAAGACAATCGAGATGTCTGTCCTTCAGTATGTGAAGGGATATATAAAACTATGGTACATCCAGACAACAGAATATTACTCAGTGCTAAGAAAAAATGGGCTAGCAAGTTATGAAAAACATGGAGGAAACTTAAATGCCTATAACTAAGTGAAGGAAGCCAATCTGAAAAGTCTAGCTACATGCTATAGGATTCTAACTGTGACACTTGGAAAGGTAAAGACTATGGAGACAGTAAAAGGATCAGGGGTTGCCATAAGTTAGGGGATTGAGGGAGAGAGGGAATTAATAGGAGGGGCACATAATTTTTAGGGCAGTGGAAATACTCTGTATGATACTGTAATGAAGGATACATATCATTATACATTTATCCAGATCCACGGAATATACAACACCAAGAGTGAACTATTGATTTAGGGTGACGATGTGTCAATACAGATTCACCAATTGTAAGCAAATGTAATACTCCATTTATGGGGAGGTTATATATGCGTGGCGACTAGAGAGTATATGTCTGTACCTTCCTCCCAATTTTGCCATGAACCTAAAACTTTTAGACTGAGCACAGTGGCTCATGCCTATAATCCCAGCACTTTGGGAAGCTGAGGCAGGAGGATCACTTGAGGCCAGGAGTTAAAGCCAGCCTGGGAAACATGTGAGACCCCTTCTCTACAAAAAAATTAGCTGGGCATGGTGGTGCATACCTGTAGTCCTAGCTACTTAGGAAGCTGAGGTAGGAGGATCCCTTGAGCCCAGGAGTTCAAGGTTACAGTGAGCCATGATGGCACCACTGCACTCCAGCCTGGGCAACAAAGCAAGACTCTGTGTCTCAATAAATAAATAAGCCTTAAAATATATATATTTATAAAAAGACAAGCAATACAAAATAAAATCAAAAGCTGGTTTTAAAAATATCAACAAAATTGGCAAACCTCTAGTTAGGCTGAATAAGAAAAAGAGATGAATGATTAATATCAGAAACAAAAAAAAAAAAAAAAGGAAAGATCACTACAGAACATACAGACATTTAAAAGTTAAGGTGAAAGAACATATCACCTCAACAGACAACATTTATGATAAAACTTCTCTAAAAATGTAGAAGGCAAATTACAAAACCTGATAAAAGGCATCTATTAAAAAACTTAACTGCTAAGATAATAATGAAGAAAGGCTAAATGCTTCCACTGTAAGATAAGGGATAAGCCAGGATATCCACTCTCCACCTCTCCCCCATGTCAACATGGTATAGGTGGTCATACCTAGTGCAGTAAAGCAAGAAAAAAAAAGTATACAGATTGCAAAGAGGAATTAATGCTGTCTTTATTTGCAGATGTGATCGTGTGCATAGAAGAACCTAAGGCACAAATAAAACTTTTCACTAAAGACATGATCATTTATGCAGAAAATCTCAAAGAATCTGGAACAAAATTATTAGACCCAATGAGTTATTGAGCAAGATCAGAGGACACAAGGTCAAAGGACACAAGGTCAAATCCAAAACATGAGCACTTAAAAACTGAAAATAAAAAAATTTAAATAGCACAAAAATATAATTTACCAAAGATAAATGTAACAATATATGTTACAAGATTGCATACACCAAAAAACTGCTATATGCTGATAAGAAAAATCAAAATACCTAAATAATGTAGACATATTTTGTGTTCATGGGCTAGAAGTCTCAATATTGTTAAATTGTATTTCCCAAATTGATTATGTAAACAATGCAATCTCAAAATCCCAGCATGCTTTCTAATTTAGAACAAAACATTGTAGTTCATTGAGATCCAATTTTTTTTTTTGAGATGGATCTTGCTCTGCCGCCCAGGCTGGAGTGCAGTGGCATGATCTCAGCTCACTGCAACCTCTGCCTCCCGGGTTCAAGGAATTCTCCTGCCTCACCCTCCCGAGTAGCTGGGATTACAGGCGCACAACACCATGCCTGGCTAATTTTTGTGTTTTTTTAGTAGAGACGGGGTTTCACCATGTTGGCCAGGCTGGTCTCAAACTCCTGACCTTCTGATCCGCCTGCCTCAGCCTCCCAAAGTGCTGGGATTACAGGCATGAGCCACCACGCCCGGCCTGAGATCCAATTTTTTTAATATTAAATAAAGAGAAAGCCAAAACAATTTTTAAAAAGCAAAATAGGACTCACGACTACCTGATTTTATGGTTTACTATAAACTACAGTAATCACCATAGTGTGGTGTTGGCATAAAGACAGAAATATAAATTAATGGGACAGAATGGAAAGCCCAGAAACAGACTCACACATATATGAACAGCTGATTTTCAATAAAAATCAAATAAGCCAGGCAAGGTGGCATTCACCTATAGTCCTAGCTACTTGAAAGACTTAGTTGGGAGGACGGCTTTGAGCATGGGTGTTTGAGACCAGCCTGGGCAATATGGTGAGATCTCGTCTCAAAATAAATAAATAAATAATAAAGAAATGTAGTGGAAAAAGGATAGTCTTATTAACAAATGGTACTGAAAAAATTGGATATATAATATTTAAGCAATAACAAAACCCACAACTTTGTGTGTTCCACACAACATACAAAACATCAACTCAAAATGAATCACAGACATACTTAAAAGGTCAAGGCTGCAGTGAGCCATGATTGTGCCACTGCACTCCAACCTGGGAAAGGAGGATCACTCAGCAATAAAAGGAAATGAACTACTGATAAATGCAAAATCATGGATAATTACAAAAGCATCATGCTAAGCAAACGGCAAACTCAAAGGGCAACATACAATATGATTCCATTTATATGACATTATGGGAAAAATAAAACTATAGGAACAAATCAGTGATTGCCAAGGGCTTGGTATAGGGGAAAGGAGCAAAAGAGAATTTACTTGATAAGATGGAAATATTTTATATCTTAAGTACGCTGATAGTTACAACAACTGCATAATCTGTCAAAACTCATCATGCTGTACACCTAGAGAAGGTGAATTTAACTTGGGTAAACATGATGTAAATTTCTTAATGGGAAAAACCTAGCAAGTAACAGCAAGAGAGGGGATATTTTTTGCTTTTGCAATTTTACTTTAAAAACATTGGAAATACAACATATTTCTCTTAGTGTTTTTACAAGTCGTGTTCTTGTGCGTTAAGAAAGATAGTGTATCATGATACCTAAAAACATATTTCCTTTCGAAAGATAAGGGAATAGACAACCCAGTCACTGTGGCTTGAGTCTGTAATCCCAGCTACTTGGGAGGCTGAGGCAGGAAGATTGCCTTGATCCCAGGAGTTCGATACCAGCCTGGAGCAATATAGCAAGACTTCACTTCTAATTTAAAAAATAATAATGAAGAAGGTTCATAAGAAAGGTAAAGCAATAGACAAATCAGAATGTTTTATATTTTCCTATTATATACCACATCTCTGCATATCTCTTCGCAAAGTATCAATTATATTTCCTAAGTAGCCATATAGTTACAGAAACCAGTTTTTCATTTAAGCATTACTGTATTATTTATAACAGTGGAATTAACCTCTATATTAATTATTCAGGTAAATGAAAGAGATATTAAAGCCCCATTACTTGGAGCATTTCCCTGCCATTTTAATTCCTAGAGATGAGGCTTATGTTTTTCTATATTTCTCAAGTACCTCCGGTGATTTTTATCAGTCAAGTTTAAAAACTGGAAGTTAGTAAACAGACTCAAGTAATCCATGAGATAGTAAGGCATACGATAATTTCCAATACTAACAAATCAGGTTAACAACGGTAAGACAAAAAGTTTGGTAATGTTGGCCATTTATAGGGCATAGCATTTCCGGGAAGGACATTAAAAAAAATGAAAATATAATTGATACAAGGCATTGTTTTAAGTACTGAGAATATAGCAGTGAACAAAATAAAGTCCCTGCCCTAATGGAACTTATATTCTAGTGGGGAAGCAGTCAATGGCAAATGAACCAAATATATAAGCTGTGGTAATGCTAGAAGAAAATGCAAGATAAGGGATTTTTAAAAATGATGGGGCAGGGTACTAATTTCAAGACTTGAAATGACATTTGAGCTGAAAGAAACCTGAATTGAGGAAACGAGTTTTGTACAAGTCACAAATAAGCTTTTTTTTTTTTTTTTTTTTTTTTTTTTTTTGAGACGGAGTCTCGCTCTGTCGCCCAGGCCGGACTGCGGACTGCAGTGGCGCAATCTCGGCTCACTGCAAGCTCTGCTTCCCGGGTTCACGCCATTCTCCTGCCTCAGCCTCCCGAGTAGCTGGGACTACAGGCGCCCGCCACCGCGCCCGGCTAATTTTTTGTATTTTTAGTAGAGACGGGGTTTCACCTTGTTAGCCAGGATGGTCTCGATCTCCTGACCTCATGATCCACCCGCCTCGGCCTCCCAAAGTGCTGGGATTACAGGCGTGAGCCACCGCGCCCGGCCAAGCATTTTTTAATAGAGGGACAATAATGCAAAGGCCAAGAAGTATTTTCTTTGCATTGACAGGAGTGGCTGAAGTGAAGCAAAAAGAACAGAAATAGCTAAGAAGTGCCTTAGGCAGAAAGCTGTGAATGCATTTATCAAAGACCCTAGTTTTTAAAACTTTCTCTTTTTTTTGAGGCAGTCTCACTCTGTCGCCCATGCTGTAGTGGTGTGATCTTTGCTCACTGCAACTTCTGCCTCCTCGGTTCAGGTGATTCTCCTGCCTCAGCCTCCCGAGTAGTGGGGATTACAGGCGCATACCACCACACCCAGCTGATTTTTGTATTTTTAGTAGAGACAGGGTCTCACCGTGTTAACCAGGTTGGTTTCAAAGTCCTGATCTCAAGTGATCTGCCTGCCTCGGCCTCCCGAAGTGCTGGGATTACAGGAGTGAGCCACTGCACCCAGCCTTGCAGTTTTTAAAACTTTTAATGTCTTAGTGTAAAAGGGTTGAGTTTGGTTTTACATATTTTAATATTACATATCTATTAGCTGTCTAAGTGGAGATGAGTTCAGGGTAGTGGTTGAAGCTGAAGATAGCACTAGAAACAGGAAGAGAAAAATAGTACAGCTGTTGAGAAAGAGAGAGATCAGAAATTAAGTCTTATGATAGCAATGATATAGGATTCCAGAAAGTAAAAAGAAGTGGGTAAGAGGCAACAGCTGATAAAAAAAGAAATTTAAAAAAAATAAATAAATAAAACCACCACACCAGGACTTAATATAGTCAGCCTGCAGAACACTAGAGACAAATCAAAGATTTGAAAAGTAAACAGAAGGAATAAAAAAAAGTAACTAGTGGCAGTTCCATAGCTCATTCTAGATTGGAAATCTAATTAATATTAGTCAACAATAATGAAATGATAATACATCACACATTTTTCAGTCACATAAAGTTTGCATATCACCAACGGAAACAATATCCTTAGCTCATTTAATAGAATCATTAGGAGTTTTAGACTGTTCATACCTCTTTAGTTTCATATTTAGATCAGGACTCAAATGTGGAGTAGAACATCGAATTAAAATAATTTCATTCATTTGGGAGTTGGAACTACAAATTTTGTTTCAAATATAGATGTAATTTTTTTTTTAAGCTAAAGGGCAGAGTGGTTAGTGGCCTTTTAGTGTAGAAAATCCAGCACATGAAGCCCCATTAGAGAATTTGTATAGGTACTTGGAACAACCTTTTAACATTTTTCATTAATCCTACTTTCCCCAGTAATCTCATCTTTCATCCTTTTACACCATAGCTAAGATTTCCTATTCCTAGATCTTCCTATGAGAATTCAATGAATTTCTGTAATGGAGTCAACCTATTAGGTCCTAATTTTTTAAAGAAAATTAGCATGAAGTGTTCTACAAAATCAATTACTAGTTATTGTCAGAAAATATAATCTCAAACTTTCTTCCAAATATCTATAATTGAATCTTAGAAATTTTCACACACATTTTGACACTATCTCAAAATATTTGTCGCATTACTATCTAGTTGTGTCCTCTATAACATCCTCCATTCACTACAATTATTGTACAATGCTAAAATGTATCTAAGTTTTGTCTGCATTTTCAAATTGAGTATTTAATGTATATTTAATAGAGGCATCTATATTAATGTGCTTTTACATATTAACTCAGAAATATTTTAAAATATTTTTGCAGTTTCCTATGAAGCTGAAAGTCGTTTTTTAAAATCCTGTATTTAAAAATTAGTTGCTCTTCCAAATCCCTATCCCTTTTTAAGCTGTTGTATTTATAAAGCTATTTGTATTTATAAAGCTATGACAGCTAATTTGGGGTGCAAAGATTATTTTCTAGTTAGAAATAGTAATGGGGTAGAGTAAAAATCAGGCCATTTACTCCTAGAGCATATTCTTGATAAACTTCATGAAAATGAATAACCTACTCAACCTTTTCATATTAACTACAAAAAGAAATTATAATTTATATTACATAAAATTAAAAAGGTTCTCATTAAGCTACTCACTCTGAAAATAAAATTATTCAAACTCATTTTCCATAGTCTGAAAATTAATTTCTAACATACTCTAAACAAAGAATATCTTTATAAGCAAACAGGCTATTGCTTTTAGTAAGAATTATTTATTGTATAAAAGTGGAAGGTTAATTGGTACAGTACTATACATAATCTCTCACCCTTGAAAAATTAAACATAACTGGATAAAAATAACAAAGCAGAATGAAAACAGAATATTTTATGGAGAATGTTCTGCTATATTTATGTACTAATGTTCTTCACCATTGCGTCTTAATTTTTCTGATTTCTTACAAAAATGAACATATTTTATCATTTGATAAATGTACATACAGTTCTATATTTTTCATTCAACTCAGCTAACTAGCTGACTGAAACTTTCAACTAAATGTAGCACTATTTAAAAAATTAGAGCCTTATCTCAGAAAATGCAACATTGTTCTGTGAAATTTGCACAATATAATGCAAATATCTTAGCTTTTAGTAATAAATTAAAAAATGCCAGCCACCATCTTATGACTTAAGCATTATGAATTAGTCAAATGCTATCTTGTGGAATAAAATAGTCATACTAAATGTAGAGAAAAGTGATAAAAGTTTCAAAAATGTGTGCCAGGACTACCTTCATTACTTTTATATTTAATTATAAATTAGATGTTTAAAAAACTGAGCTACTCCCTCACATGTTCTCTCATATACCAGAAAAGAAACAAAGCATTATTATTCTTCAGGGTAACTGTATCAGAAAGAGAAATTACTGCAAAAAACAAAACAAAAAGCAAAAAAACCCACAAGCTTTTATACACATAAACCTAATTGGACAAAGGAAAATATTAAAAAATACACCTATGGACAAATATCTGTAGGTTGCTCCCACAGCTAATTAACAGTGACACACATAGCAATACTATAGAAATTATGTCCACATACTTATATTCGTCAAAGATTCAAATTTGTTACATCAAAGCATACATGCAAGAATGTGTGCCACATGACTTAAAAACTTCCCGCTGAATATAAAACAAAATAAAAATCTGTGAATAAATATAAAGCATCCCATAATAATATCTGTAGGAAGCCAAAAGGGGCCAACAAAAATGTCTATGACCTAAGTTTTACTTCATAGGAATATTCATAGTCTCCAAAACAGATTTAGTTGTAATGCTACACATTACAAATATTCAACTGCTTACCAAAATACTTTTTCTGGCAGCAAAATGTTACTTAAAAACGGGGGTAGGGGGCGGTGGTGGTGGTGGTAAGTGCTTGAGGGAGTAAGAATGCAGCAGAAAATTACAGGAGCCCACATATCCTTTTTCTTAAATTTAATTTGTCATATATAACGTTTTTATATACAATCAGTGTGCATTGTAACAGTTTATATTAAAAGTCAATCAAGTTTATCTAAAATGTTAACCTGGCTGCATAGCACATTTGACATTATTGCCCACATAAAACGGGAAAACAAACGGATTTACAATAACTTTTGGCCGTTTTGGATTCTGAAAAGTGTTTATACACCTACCCTTTTAAACCAGATGCATCTGAAAAAAGTGTTTCCAGAGCATGCAGTTTAGATTTTACATATCTCGCCATTTTTTAAAACTACAAACACAATATTGACTAAAAAAGGAAAAAAAAGGGAATAACATGTATCTAATAAAATATTCAGTATAAAAAGAGGACTAATGGAATTAAGTGGCCCCTTTCCCCATTTTTACATTCTAAACAATGATTCCATCAAGACAAATCATTAAAAAGTGTTATTACACTGATTTTTTTTTTTTTAATAAGAAGGCCTGAGTTGGTAGGGAAAGGAACAGTCAAAAAAAGCCTGAGAAAGGGAAGGAAGTAAGGAAAGTTCCTTTAATATTTACAATAATTTACAGCCATTTTTTTTGTAAAAAGGCATAATAGATCACAAACAGGAAATTCCTGGCTATTTTACAGATATAAGTACAGAATTTAAATATTCAAGCTTGTGATGAAAAGCGGCAAGGTGGTCGCAGTGTACAATGTAAACAAGTAGCTTTGGAAATGAACAAAGTCCTTGAGTGTTTTTCTTTATTAAGAAAGAACTCTCTTTCATTCCTTCCTGAAACATGATCACAGGTCAGAGTAAAGTTCATATATAAACATAATTTAAATGGAGGTCAGTCTAAAATCACTGACTTAAAAACAGTTTTATCCAGCCTGTATGGGAGGGCAGTGTTGAGGTCCCTGTAATAGTAAACATTTTCCATTTCTTTAAAAAAGAAAACAAAAAAAAGTACTACAATTTTGTAGTACAGTGCAGCATAATCCTTAAATATAAAAATATTTTCTCTTCTGTTGGGATAATAGACCTTGCATCCTGGAAAGAAGTAACAATACTGCTACTGATAGAAGATCTGTTTATATCTTTCAAGTCATGTAAGGCAATTACTGTGTTGGTTTATGATATATGGCTAAAAGAAAAGTCCAGAAAGACGAAGTATCAGTTTTTGTTATGTTTTCCGACTACTCCAGGTATGCTCCGGTGTACTTTTGTGTTCAACTGAATGTTCAAATGGAGATCTGGAGCCATAAGGAGATCTCTGATCTAGTGGTGACCTAGGGCCACTGCTGGAAGCTCTGTGGTCCATTTGCCAGTCTGAGTGATACCTATAATCCCTGGAAGATTTATGGTGCGTATATTCAGAACTTGACCGGTGGTCTGAATGTAACCGATGATCTGAGTGAGAACGATGATCAGAATGAGATCTATCTTTTAAACTTCCTTCCAAATTTGACCTGTGATCTCTACTCCTGTGATCATCCAGTTTTCTGTGTTTCTCTCTGTCACTGTAATATCTAATAAAGAAAAATTGAGAATTTTAGACAAATCATGCAAATTAAAATGTTTCCAAATAAAAGATAACTAAAAAACATAAAAATACCTTAAAACATGTTTTTAATTGTATAGAAATTCAGTGTTGCATTATAAAACTTACTTAATTAACTCAAAAATCACTGGATATATCTCTTTGGAAAAACTATTTGATTCATAAAACTAAAGCGAACCATACAAAACCCCTAAAATAGCATCTAATTTCACATGGCTATTTTAGATAATTAGCTGCTTTTTATTTTACACATCATTTATATGACTGCATCTTAATTGTCTGGAAGCTGAAATTAAGATTATTACAACTATCTGAAATACTCCTGAGACCAGAGCCTTTTACCAACCTCTAAGCAGGAAAAAGTTTAAAAATGCTAGAATGCAGTCTATGCTGAAAAATTTTTCACTGGTTGCTGATGCCTATTAAAAGCTTCCTCAAGTTTGACTAGTTATATAGTAAGACTCGACACATGAATCATTACGAAATTTACTCCATACAAACATGTGACAGCTTGATAAAAAATAAATGTGGCAGTTTAATGAGAATTATTCTCTAAAATGAGTGCCTTTTCCAAACTGACACACACACAACTGTAACTATATTGCATAAGCCTGTGAAATATATACTATAAATCTGCCTTTTCCTTTTAATTATTTGACCCCTTCAAATAACAGCCATTCTACAACTGATGTGTTCATAGTGCTGACAGAGGTTCTCAAAGAAATTATTGTAATGAACACTAAAATACAAAGATGTCTTCTAATTTGTTTCTTCTACTTACTATAAAAGCATAAATACTATAAATCTCAGTTTTCAAGTTTACTTTTAGTAGTGATCATTAACTACCGAAAATACTTCTTTATCAATAAAGGAATAAAAAGTATTCTGATGTTATTACACTGAGGTTGCTTACTGTTCAAAGGCTTCAAAAAACAATAAACAAAAAACCTTCCTGGTTCCAATAATATTCCAGATTGCTGAGGTTAAGTTTTACCTCAATGAGATGTGTTCACATATATTAATTTTTCCCGACTTTTTAAAAATATGGAATGCAAAATTTCCTAAACCAAACCTGAATCACTATTATATCAAGCTTTTATCCCACTTATTATATTTTAAAGAGTATTTGAGCCAATATTCTTCAAAACGAACAATGAACCCCACGCAATTTATAATCATACAACTCCCTACATCACCTTACTACATATTTTGATCTCAATTTTATAATTCAAAATCCATTTTATAGAGAAATTCAGTTCTTAAAATATATACATTTTTCTTAATTATATACAACACCTTTATTTCACAAGATTTGTTTTGACTGCATGAAGATTGAATTGGCTGACAGGTCAAATACAGGAACATCATGATAAGGAGAAAAACATGCATAAGCAAAATTTCTAAAGTGACTGCCAAGTTTACCTGCTGTCTTGCTTGTAGTGATCCCAATCACGATGGTCTTTACCATTACTAAAAGAAGAATAGGGTCTTTTCCTGGAATCACTTTTTTTGTAAGAATCTCCCTGATGTCGGTCTTTATGATGATCATGGTACTGAGTTAAGTGTCTATCAGAGGAATAACTGTCCCTGCTGCTATCATCGTGATTTGTATTCTCTTTTAATCTTTCCACATCTGTTAGATAAGTACAACTTTTATTAATGACCTTAAAAATAATGTGGCAAAAAAAACTTAGTTGATAGATAACAAGAATTCGTTTCAACCCTTGCCAAAACAAAATCGGTTCCCAAATACAAGCAGTTAAAGCATTTAGAAATGGTGTATAAAAGCAGTACTAAGGATTAATTAAAAAAGGTTGCTTGATTCTGAAATGTCACAAAAACTAAAAAATATGGGACCTATTCCTTTCTCAGACTATACTTTTGTGACTCTGATACAGAAAGAATGCATTACTATTCCAAATTACATAAAAAAGAATATTTGTTCATTTTAACAGTCATTCTACAATTTCTAGAAACTGAGAAAAGGATGATTAAAAGGATAATAAACTAAAATGAACTACAGTTTAAGAGAATACATTTTACATAATAATGTAGGTATGTATCAGAATTACTGTATCTCCTTAATATAAAGGTACTTATAAATAAAAACAAGGTAAGAACCTTTTTTATCATTTGGTTTATTTAAAACAAAAATTTAAAAAAAATTTTTTTTAATTTATTTTCCCAATCAGTAAGGCTTACATACCTGGATTTCTAATCACGTGAGGATTCAAGTTGCTGTTTTGATCACTGTTTTGCTAAAATAAATGCACACGTGTTAAGAATCTTTAGGTGACTTCACAAACTTACAAAAAAGCACAGATAATTCTTAGAAAATACTGATAATGAAGTCTTCACACAAGATATTAGAATGTTTATGTGTGTATATATACATGTATGACATTTATAGATCTCCATTTTTAAAGCATGAACTACTTGTCCCATGACTTAAAGATATTTTTTCATTTTGAAATAAATTGACTTAACAGAAAGGTTGCAAAAATACTGAGTTCCCTTCATCTAGCTTCTCCTAATGTTAATATCTTATACAAACATAGTATAATGATCAAAACCAAATAATTAACATTGGTATAACACTATTAATTGAAGAACAGACTTCATTCAGATTTCACATTTTTCCACTAATGTTCTTTATCTGCTCGGGGATTCGATTTGGAAGCCCATATTACACTTAGTTGTCACGTCTTCCTCTGGGACAGCTCCTTAGTCTACTGCATGCTCTTAACACTTTAGAAGAGTAGCAGACAGTTATTTTATAGAATATCCGTCAAGTAGGGCTTGTCTGATATTTTCACATAATAACACATATATTTTTGGCAAGAATTCCACATAAGTGATGTACCTTTCTCAGTATCAGAGGGTTCATGATGCTGATATGTCTTAACTATTGGTGACATTAACTTTGATCACTTGTTTAAGGTGGGTCAGGCAAGTTTCTCTATAAAGTTATTATTTTCCCTTTATAACTAATAAACATTTCAGAGGAGATCTGCCAATATCCTGTTTTCTTGCCCATTAATTTTACCTCTCTTCTGTGAATCTCGCCTGCAACAATCATTACTGTGGTGTTCAATGGTGATTTTTTAAATTTATCTTATTCATTCTGTATTTATTAATCAAACTGCTCTGTAAAAAGAATGTCTCAAGGTTTTAATTATATAAATTCAGGGAAAAAATATGATGTCAAGTTTACCTGAGACTCCTGCCGTTTTTTAATAGCATGCTTATATAATTTATGTAATTTTCTTGCATCAAATTCAGTAAACTTAGATACAAAAATCCACAGGTTTCTAGAAGAATTTAAAAAAAGGCAAATTAAGTTAGTCTGGTGGAAAATATTTAGTTTTTTTCATGGAACTCCTTCCCTCCAGGCACAAACACATATACACATACACAGCCCTCTATGGAACAAACTCTTAAGGATATTAATTTTCCTATGCATTTTTTCAAAACTTCATATATGACTAAGACTCCAGTGAAACTAAACATTAAATTTTACTTCTCTTCCAAATCGCTTCATTTTATAGTCTTTAGGGTGAAAAGCAGTACAATCCTAATTTGAAATGCACCAAAGACATAAATTAAATCAGGAAGTGACTCAGATTCATATTGTGATCCTGATTATGCATATAAGGGACAGGTATGTTAATAACTGGAGTGGAAATACCATCAGATAATATGAATTATGCTTGTAAAGAATTGTCTTAAATAATGCATTAAAAAGTTAACTGTCACTTAATAATGGTAATGTAATGGTCCCAAGAGTAACACAACCAAACACCATAAATGAGGTACAGTTTGCTATCTCTTCCCATCCCAAGGGAGGCATCAGTAATTAATCAGAGACTGTAATTATTTCACAATGCATGTGTATATCAAATCATCAAATTGTATACCTTAAATATATAAGGAACTGTAATTGTCAAATATACCTCCAAAAAGAAAAGGAATGTTAGGTTCTAAGTTAGGGTAGTATCCCTAGAAGATTCAAATATACACTAGAGGTATAATATTTACCTTGAAATATATTTTTAAAATGAACTTTGAGAATATATTGAATGATACCTTACTGAAATGAAATCCACAGAAGAAGGAAAATTCATCTAGCCTTTATATAAATTCACAGACTATCTCGAACATATCTACATTCTACGATTAACTTATAAGGGTAAAAGGTAGGAAGTTAATAAAGTACCTTTTTGTTCCTAAGTAAATTCCTTATAAAAATATATTTTCCCCCCAAAAAATCTAGTCAGGAATCAGATTCTGGTCTTAATTATATCATCCGAATGACTGTCTGATCTTGAACAAAGCACCAGAGCTGAGGCAAGCGTCAGCACTTACACAAACCTAAGAATTAGTGCCTCTTTTAAACAGTTCAGGTCCTAGGTGTTTCCTTTGTCATTCTCCAGTCCCAGCCCTAAAATGCTTTTCATCTGAATCCATTTTTTTCTTCTGTAAAATGGAATAGTAAATATCTGTTCACATTTTCTACAATACTATTAAAAGGATCAGCTAGAATGAGGCATATTTAATAAGACAAAATACAAATATACATTCTATTTTGGCCATCACTTTATTACAGTCATCTTTAAATAAAAACTAGTCTTGCATTTCAGTTGTTTTTAAGAAATTTGGTCAAAAAATATATTGAAAAAAATTGTAAGCAAAAAACAAAAAGATCATTATGGTAACTACTGTAACACTTGCTTAATGCCAACTGTTCTGTAATTGTGGTTTAGATCTCTATCTTCTTTCATTCAGGAAAGAAAGGGAAATATCCCTTAAAGCAAAATAGCTGCGACCTCTACCTCCTGGGTTCAAGCGATTCTCTTGCCTCAGCCTCCTGAGTAGCTGGTTCTACAGGCACATGCCACCATGCCCGACTACTTTTTTTTTTTTTTTTGTATTTTTAGTAGACCACCGTCTTAGCCAGGATGGTCTCAATCTCCTGACCTTGTGATGCGCCCACCTTGGCCTCCCAACGTGCTGGGATTATAGGCATGAGCCATTGTGCCCAGCCCACAATGACTGTTCTTGAGGGGATCGGGTCAGCCAATGATAGGTCTTAATATAAGGTACTTTTTTTTCTTGTTTCTGCATTAAAAATAAAAAAAAAATTCCCCCCAGCACTTTGGGAGGCCAAGGCAGGCAGATTCCTTGAGGTCAGGAGTTCAACACCAGCCTGGCTGACATGGTGAAACCCCATCTCTACAAAAAATACAAGAATTAGCCAGGCCTGGTAGCGTGGGCCTGTAGTCCCAGCTACCAAAGAGACTGAGGTGGAAGGATAGCTTGAGCCCAGGAGGCGGAGGATGCAGCGAGCTGAGATTCGCCACTGCACTCCAACCTGGGCAACAGAGTAAGATTCCATCTCAAAAAAATAAATAAATCAAAATAAAATTTCTCCAAGACAGCAAAAGCTATTTTGCTTTATGGGATATTTCCCTCTTTCCTTCCCCATCTCCCCCTTAAGGGAATTTGGTTTAACCAGAGAGAGTGGCAGCAGGAATGAACAATAAGGAATATGAAATCAAAGTAACTGAGAACCAAACAGGGGAAAACCAAAAAGGTAATCTGCCCAACTGAGTAAAGAAAAGTGAGGTGAGAGCACAGCCTTAGGATGTAAAGTGACAGAACACAATGAAAAAGTTAAGTCTCCTGGCTATTAGTCTCTCTTCTTCCAAAGGTTTCCCCACCCTTTCCTTATAACAAACCGAATTTGAAATGGTACCTATTTGTATTAGTCACTGTGTAACTTTTTTTATTTTACTTAAAATTTTATTTCAAATTCTTTAATTCTTTGCTCATTTTTAAATTTACTTTCAACCAAATTCACTGTGTAATTTCAATAAGATGTTCCTTATTTCTCATCTAGAAAGCAGAAAAGGTAGACATTCTAACTCTTTGAACCTCAAAAATCTAAGCCCTAATTATAAGGATTCAAAAAATTGGTGAAGATACAACTAAGTATTTTCATTCAGTGGTCCTCCAAAATGATAACCCATTCTTGGCAAAAGGCATTATTTAAAAGAGAAGTTGCCAGGCTTTCAAATTTTATAGTTCCAGTTAAATGTAAAAGATAGAAGCCAAGCATTTTTACACTAATAAAAGTAGAGAAGAATTTTAATATAATCCTTTAGATTAGCTAAATTTAGCTTTAAGAACAATTTGCACTACATTACCTTTATTTTCCTAATTTTTTGCATTTTACATTGCGTGAGGATGTTAATTTTTACATCTTTATACATGTATCCAGGAGGTAAATTGCTAAATTCAAGCAACAATAAACTTTGTGGGAACACCAACTTCAAAAGATATTACTGATAATAATTTGGTAAATTGCAAAGACTTTTTCAAATAAAATGCAATCTGAATTTTAATGAAACAGCTTTCACTATTTCTTTAAAGGCAGAGATGCCACTTGTTACATACCATGATACATAAGTAACCACTCATAAATAAAAAAATTTAACATTAAAGGGAGAAAAATTAAAACAATCATCTGTAGGTTACCTCTTTAAAAATTATCTTGTTACCTAAACTTCAGAATCAGGAAAGAAAACAAAAAAAAAAAAAGACAGTTATATAATATAAATTTAACACTTCCTGAAAAGTGTATCACTTACTTTCTCCATTGCTTAATTTGTTCAGGATTTGTATACTCTTTTAGACATTCTGTGATATGGTCTCCAATTTTTATTAAACATTGTCTAGTATGCTCTAGTTGTTCTCTTTCTGAAAGGCCTTTCTCAGGCCTATCAAGTTGTTTCAAAGCTGCTTTAACAGGCCTCATTCTTTCTTTACACTTTAAAATGAGAAAACAAGAATATAAACACATGTATTAAAAACCTAAATTCAACAAGGTCTACCTCCTTCAATGATATTTACATGAGTATAATATTATAACACTGTTTGATAGCAAAATAAGCAATTAAATCTCACTTCACAAATCTTATACATCAGGGTTCTTTCCCCTTTAGATTTTCTTCAGGAGAGCAAGCCTTTCTGTTATCATTTAAAATCAGTCTTTGAGTAAGTAAAAGTTTTGGATTTTACTTAGCTTCTACAAAAATGGTTATTTTTTATATTGTAGCACACTATTCTAAGGAGTCTTAAATATAGACTATTAAAAGATAGTAAAATATTTCAGAGTATAACTTAATACCCTACTATCCACTAAATACAGGGTAAAATGATTTTAGCAAAACTATTAAAATCAATATAGCTAGATATATAAACTGTATTCTTCCAAACCTTTGTGATAACAGAAGGTGGCAATAATGGCTTGCTCTTCATATTTTGGGTGGTTGGGGAGTAGAGGGTCAAAGGGTAACTTTTTCCTTGGCCTGTACATTCCTGACATGCTAATAAAAGGATGACATATTAAGAATTGCATGTTTTATTGTAGCAATAGGCACTATAACCTTATGCCAAAATCAGAATAAAAATATTACTAACAAGGCAACCGTCAGATAAAATTTGTAAATGCAAAAACAAATAAAAATTTAACATCATATTCACAGAAAGCAAGCTGGTTTAGTTCTAGGAATATAAGGATGATGGGTCAACATCAGACAATGCATTTAGATAATCCAACATCATTTATTAAGAAATTGGGCCAGGCATGGTGGCTCAGGCCTGTAACCCCAGCACTTTGGGAGGCTGAGGCGGGAGGATCACTTGAGTCCAGGAGTTTGAGATCAGCCTGGGCAACAGTGAGATCCTGATTCTATACCAAAAAAAAAAAAAAAAAAAAAAAAAAAATTAGCCAAGCATGGTGGCGCACACCTGTAGTCCCAGCTACTCAGGAGGTCAAGGTGGGAGGACTGTTTGAACCCAGGAGACTGTAATGAGCTGTGATCATGCCACTGGCACTGCAGCCTAGGCAAAAGTGAGACCCTATTTCAAAAAAATAAAATAATAAATCCTCACACCACTGCTTTGAAGGACCTCTCTTATTATAAATAAAATTAGAATTCAGTCAGATCTGATGCTTTAAGAAAGGGAAAATCTTTAATTTCCTTTCTAACTTTTAGTTTATTCATTGCTTTTATGTTTCCTATTTTTTGTTCAACTTTGGCAGTTTATATTCTGTTAGAAAATAATTTATCCAACATATGTAAGTTTAGTACATACTATGTTCTAGGCATTGTTCCAGATGCAGGAAATAGAGCTGTAAGTAAAACAGATCCTGCCTTTATGGAACCTGGACTCTAGTATAAGAGAGCCAGTAAATGAACAAGAAATAGTATGTCAGATGACAACAACTGTGATAAAGAAAAATAAAGGAAGAAAGAGCAGGGAGCTTCCTATCTTATCATAAGCAAGATTTCAAAGAAGGGCAATGTTTGAGAGGACACCTAAAGAAAATGAAGGAGCAAGCCATTCCAAGTAGAGGAAAAAACAAACATGAAAGTCCTAAAACTTGTTTGACATGTTTTTTAAAAAAGTATGAATGCCAGTGTCGCTGGAACCAAGTAAGTCAGAGAAGTGGCCGGCAACGATGGGAGGTGACTAGATGCTACGAGGCTGGTTTCAGGCTAAGAATCTTTTCTCCTAAATGAGATGGAAAGCCACTGGAGTGTTGTAGGCACAGAAATATAACGGTGTGACTTTATTCTCCCTCTAAGTCATGATTACTCTGGTTGCTATGTGGAGTACAAACTGAGGTATGAGTAGGATGGAAGCAATAAGAACAGACCCTGACAATAGTCCTTTGCAATAGTATTTAATCTATTTTATAGAAGAAACTGAAACTTAGAATACAATGACATCTGTCAAACCCAGCTCTAACTGACCTCAGACTCTGCTCTTTCTTGACTGCTAAATTATACTGTCATTTAGGAAGACAACCAGTAAAAGGAAAATCAAGGTGCCAAATGAAGCAAATATGTTTAGAGAGTGACGACCTAGAAAAGGCCATTGAATTTCATAATTACTTAGAGCTATTCCCAAATACAATGGAATTCCTTACTTAGAGGTAAAATCCTATACAGGCCAGAAAGTCTGGCTACAGAGTCCACGTTTAAGAACTATTCCAGTCTTCATTTCCATGATACACACAATATCATTTAAGATTAATGGAGAGGAAATTCATGCATTGTGCACAGCAGGAATTTTTCCATTCCAGCAGTTACATGAAAAAGTCCGAAGATTAAAAAAGAAATGTGGGGGGAAAAAAAGGTGGCAAGAGATACAATTTCACCTAATTCATTAGTAGACCACATAGAGAAGGGGAAGTAGCTCCAGTGAAAAGTTTAATGTTTTCACTTCAAAAAAGCTAAAGAATACCACCTCCCCTGACTCCCACCCAATACAGAGTAGGTAAAAAACAAAAACAAAAACAAAAAACAAAAACAAAAACGGTTACCCTTGAAAAAGAGAGAAGAAATTCCAGCCTGTGAACCTGCAGAGGAGATAAAAATAAAAGTCCAGAGATAAAAAATATGGCTCAAATAAATAAAATGGAAGATAGGAGCTGCAGCAGCTTTGAATGTCTCCAATACTCCCAGTGACTGGAAGAATGTCAACAGCTCAAAGTAGGGAGAACAAGAGGATGGTAAAAAACCAATATATTTAAAGAGCATGAACAATAGTTGAACTATATTAGGGCATGTTGTGGAATCAGTAGGAAATACATTAGTGGGTTCATTAAATCAACACTGTCTAGTCACGGTGCAAAAGAAGAGAAAGTAGGACAAGAGGATAAGCTGGGGATCTAGAAGGACATAATGGGTTGAAAACAAATATAATTTTAGAAGGTGAAATTTTCCCTCTTTGAAGTATAGCATTTGATTAATACTAGTGATAAAGCTGACACCCAAGTCTAACAAGTGACTGAAGTATGTTAACTGCTCCAACTAGTATAAAAGATTCAGATGCTAGAAATCTCTAAAAAGGAAATATAGGAATATATATTTATATATAAATTTGTGTATATTGTAACTATATATAAACATGACACATCTATATATCAGACTATAAGTGTTTCCTTCAGTTGTGGCTTGTAAGGAAACATTTCCTAGTCCTAGTTAAAGCCAAACTACATTATCGGTCTCGTATCACTCAGCCCTTTTTTCTCTAACATTATTATTTCTTCCTGGTTTTGCTCTGCAATTGGACTTTTTAGTCTCACTCTTATCTGCTTCACATGTCTGAATTTAGGAACAACATCTACAACAATCACTTATCGATTTCTGAGCTTTTCTGAAGACAGCACTGATCTGTAAACTTTACATGTACCAATTCATTTAATCTTCATACTTACTTACCAAATAGCATTCTGCCTCAAGAGTCAGTACTATTAAGCACATACATACTGTTATATTATGTAATTACATAAGTATATAATTATATTCAGTAAATAAATTATGAATACATACATTGAGTAAATTATAAATAAATACATAAATTATAATTATCTTCAGTAAATAAGGTCTTTAGAATAAAGGCACAGATAGTTTCTCCCTCACTTTGAGGAACGCAAAGGCATGACAACATGGAGAATCAGTATATTTGACAAGAGATATTGCCAGTCCAAAACAACATCGGTACAAAAACTGAGCCTGTTTAGAAACTCATAATTTGACAATGCAACTTTATAGCTACTGCATCTACTAACAAAACATTAGGCTCATATTTTGTACATAATTTTTTCTTATTTCACTTTTCTAGTGAAACATTTCATTCTTCTTGTATTTTTTAAAAAATATATTGGTCTGCAAAAAACTGGGAAAAAAACTAGTCCTTCACCATAAATAAGAAGCACTATTACACATGTGTGTGTGTGTGTGTACATATTTATTTTTTAATGGCATTGGGAATTTAAAAATTTGAAATACGAGCTGGAGGAAAACAAATTCACTCAAAGTACTTGTTAAACCCCTCTTCTTAAAAGTCTTTATTAAAAAGTCTTTCCGAGTTGCTTCTAAATTTAAGACACCAGCTGGGTGCGATAGCTCATGCCTGTAATCCCAGCACCTGGGCCCACCTTGGCCTCCTTTTATCTTCCTTGTTTTTTTTTTTTTTTTTTTTTTTGAGATAGAGTCTCACTGTTGTCGGCCCGGGCTGGAGTGCAATGGTGCAATCTCAGCTCACAGCAACCTCAGCCTTCCAGGTTCCAGCAATTCTCCTGCCTCAGCCTCCCGAGTAGCTGAGATTACAGGTGCTCGCCAACACACCCAGTTAATTTTTGTTTTTTTTCTTAGTAGAGTGTCACCATGTTGGCCAGGTTGATCTCAAACTCCTAACCTCAGGTGATCCACTGCCTCGGCCTTCCAAAGTGCTGGGTTTACAGGTGTGAGCCACCATGCCCAGGCTTATCTCCCTTTTACGCCAAGGAGTTCGAGACCAGCCTGGGTGACATAAAAAATCCCCATCTTTACAAAAAACTAAAAATTAGCTGGGTATATGGCACATGCCTCTAGTCCCAGCTACTCGAGAGGCTGAGGCAGGAGGGGCACTTGAGCCCAGGAGGTTGAAGCCGCAATGGGCCGTGACTGCACCACTGAACTCCAGCCTGGGCGACAGTGAGATGCTAACTCAAAAAAGAAAAAAAAAAAAAAAAAAAAGACACCCTTCAAATTTCAAATACATTGCTTTTATCAATCTACAATAAATTCAAATGCAGTTCTAAATTAAATGCTATAAATGACAAACTTCAACTTAAATGTTTTATGAGTTAATACTAATAATCAGAAAGTCTAAGGCTTACAATGCTGAATGTCTTCTGATCCAGCTCTTCAGATTCTTCAGAAATGGGAACTGGTTCACCACTTGCCGTGATATGAACTGGAGCATCTGACACTGAAGATTTCTTGGATCTTTCCCTACCATCAGACTTGGATTCACTCAACTAAAGAAAAAGTGAAAAGAAAACAAAAACAAAACCCCAATAGCAACAAAGGCAAAATGACTAACACTTCCAGAAAATAATTACTGTCTCATTTTATTCTACAAGTGCTCATTCTCATTGAATATCCTCATCTATTTTAATTTGTTTTTTTCCCCAATTTTATTTGGGGAAACAATCAAAGCTACTCTGTAATGTTACTCTGAAGGTAAAGCATTAAAGAGTGTTCAGACCTACTATTCTCCTCTACTGCATACCCAAACATGCTTCTGAAGAACTCAGTTATTGAGACTAATAAGGGCTGATATGCAATTTAGTCTCCTAAAATGTAAATATGCTGATTGTTTTTACTTTCTACATTTTTTATTATGATTTGCATACCTTTTCTTCCTTTATGTCTTTTTCTTTCTGTATAGCTTCTTTTACTTTGTTTTCTCTTTTTTCTTTAAAATCTTTTTCCTTTATATCTTTCTTATCCTCTTTTTCTTTTATCTCCCTTTTAAGTTCTTTTTTATTCTCCTTTTCTTTTGCTTCCCTCTTTTCTTCTGGTTCCTTCTTTATATAAACATCTGGCTCAGGTTTTTCTTCACTGTCTCTTTCTGTTTTAATTTTTTTATTTGGATGTTTCACAGAACTGATCTCATCCTGGAAAGTGCAAGTATGGCCAATGTATTACTAACCAAATTTTAACAACGACTAATTTTTCTTCATATGACTACAGATTGCATGTATGTGGATTCTGAAAGAGCCCAGAATCCCCCTAATAATGATACATGCAATGTTTACCTTCCTATAAACTAAAGTAAGCCAGTCCCATTCAAGTTCATAATACAATTAAAAGAGACAGAAGCTCATCAAATTGGCAAATGTTTGAAAAGGAAGGACCTTTGCTCTATGCCTCTAGTGCTATATAATATCTACTGGACAGTTAGAATTCTGTTCTATAATTGAGACTGTTATGAACTATAAGTGCGTGCGCACGTGCGCGCGCACACACACACACACACACACACACACACAGACTTCGGTACCTAAAATATAAATTTTAAATGTAAAGTACACAAAAACATGCCATATTCCCTTTCCATAGAAAAGGTTGTTGTTCTAAAACACATTCTTACTTTATCATCATCTTCATCAGACTTCTCTGAAGGCAGAGGAGAAGAATCACTCTTTATTTCCTCTTTCACTTTTATAGACTTCATTGCTTTATTCTTCTTAGCTCTTGCTTTTCTCCTCTTTGAACTTCCCTAAAAATCATTATTTTAATTTTAACCAATTCTACAGATTTCATTTTTAAAAACTTCATAAACATTAAATCCAAGGGCTAGAACACATATTCCTACCTGATCCTTAGTCTATTGGTAATAAGCTGTACCAACATCAGAAACTCAATAAAGGTGATATAACTTAATGAGTCAAATATAATATTAATGTAAATAATAAATACTAGCCATTATTATTCCTTTAAAAAAAGGATCAGAGAGAAGTAGAAACAAATTTTTTACCCTCTGAGATTATTATGGCCTTCAGCTTAATTCTATAGCACAAGAGACTGCATTAGGAATGATTTTTAACGCTACACAGGTAGTTATTGACATTATGGTCACAGGTAAACTTCTAACAGTTGCTCTAAGTTTCCAATCACCTCCTTTTTGGTGTCTTTTTCCTTCTTTTTCAGTAAGCTTGGCAACCTATGACGCTGTCCCTTAAGCATTCTAATGACTCCAAGTAAAACAGTCATGTAGGCTATGTAAGGCTTGACTTCTCAAAAAGTACTCCGCACGCTAAACGAGTTTTCTCTATCCCTCTCTAAAACTAGAAAAAAAAAACAGAATCCTACTTCTGAAAGCTATGATTCATCAGTTTTAACATGTATGCTGAGATAATTTAAGGTAAAATTTAAATATGGCAACATCAAATAAAACTACTTAATTACAGAAAAATCCATTTATATAAGCTCATATTGACTTCAGATGTTTAGCATGGTGAAGTAAACAAAATTTACCTTACTAAAAAGTAAACTGGTCTTAGGCATGTGGGCTTTAACTTACCGCACCAGAAAGAGCTTCTTTTTTTGCAAGATCTCTACTAAGTAATTTGATGAGGTAGTCTGCACGGGTCTGCAACTGTTTTGCTTGTGGTTTTTTATCGGGATCATCTGGAAGAATCTGAAAAAGCAATAAATTTTTTCAGATTGTCTTAATAAATAACATGAGAAATGTACTGGCTAAAAAATGCTTAACCATTTAAATATATATATAGTTCACCAACAAGTTTCAATTATTAATATTTGTAGGAATAAACTCAATGCAAAATGTATTTTTTATACGTATGCCAGAGCCAAAAATTTAATTTTTCTGAGAATGAATTCTAAACTTCAAAAACCCTCAGATTATCTTTCAAAATGAAAATAGAAAGCATAAGGTTGTAAATTTCCTTCAAATATACAAAAGTGTACTTAACATCCACTATTAAATGTTATATAATCCTTAAACACCTTCCCTTCTCAGTAAAAGTGTACTTATATATAATGTACACAGAAATTCCTAGACTACAAGATGTCATCCTTCTAGAAGAAGACCTAAAGCATACACTGGGAGGAAAGTTTTACAGGGGAATCTAGACTACTTAATTTTTTCTTCACAGTAACAAATGACAAAGCACCAATATCTAAAGGTTCCCAACACACAGGATAAACAATAAGGAAGTTCTCCCAGTGTTTCCCATTTTAGGCAAAAAAAAAAAAAAAAAAAAAAAAAAAAAAGGATTTCAGCTAGCACAGTGCAACCAAATGACCAAAAATACTACAATGCCGATGTTTTTTAAAAATAAATATAAAAGATTTTAAGGATTTTGTCTTACTGGAATAATAAAATTAATGATGAATGGGTACAAATATATAGTTAGATGGAAGAAATAAGACCTAGTGTTTGATAGGTGAGTAGGGTGACTACAGTTAGCAATAATCTATACATTATAAAATAGCTAGAAAAGAATCACTTAAATGTTCCTAAAGATAAATATTTAAGGTGATAAATGTTCCAGTTACCCTGATTGCATCTTTATATATTATATGATTGTATCAAATTATCACATGCATCCAAAAATATGTACATCTATTATGCATCAAAAATTTTTTTAAAGCTAATGATGGAATAAGACTTTTAACCTCGTAATTTGAAAAATAATACACCTAATGCCTTAATAACATATAATTTCACAGTAACGCAAAATCTCAGAAATCATTTAAATTTGATCCTTTCATGCAAAGCATCTTCTAAACGCACCAAGGTCACACAACCAGCTAGTGCCTTGGTTTCCAGATTTCCATTATTTCCAACATAATTTAAAAGCAAGAATTAGAATAAATTAAATTCAACATGAATGGTTAACAGAATCAGAAATAGATAAATACCTTGTGTGTTAGACTGAGGTCAGGATCCATTTTAATCATTTCCCAGCTTCCATATCCATATTCATAGATGCCAATTAACAAATTGGAATCATCTTCTTTGCCCCAGTCTATATCAAAATGAGCTGCCTTTGTGTGGCATGGGATAGTATACCTGGCATCAAAGTTAATAACTAATGATAAGTTTGTAATTGCCTTAACTGAAAAATTAATTTTGAAAAACGTGAGTCATTAGAACTTCAAAATAATATGCTTTATTTCTTCCTTTTTTTTTTCAAAACTAGCCAATAACACCATAAAAATTCAGCACATTCATTTTGCAATTATTGAATAACAAAAATCTTACAATGGAGAAAATAAATCACTCACTGCTTTCTTTCTTCTGGATCAGAAGGAATGGATTTGTGCAAAGGTATTAATTCTTCTTCATGGGAGATGACTAGTTTGGCATTCACCTGTACTCCTGATATTCGGAATGTTGGACCCTTCACTTTTCCGAGTCTACCACCTTGATTTTTTTTAAAAAAACCAGTATTTTTAAAAGTATAAAACATAATTCTACAAAACACCAAGCAACTGATGCTATTACTTATGTTATTTAACAATAAGTATTCCTTATTTATATTATTAAGAGATTACTGGAAAACCTTGAACTTCATTACATATGAACAAGTGATAATAATCTTGCAGATGCAAATTCACGAAAAGTATTTCTCTAAGTGTTTTACCAATTACATAAGATGGATCAATCTACTAATACCGTCAGCCTCTAAATAAAGAATTATAGGATGATGACTCAGGGTTCACTCTGTCGCCCAGGCTGGAAGTGCAGTGGTGCAATCATTGCTCACTGCAGTCTTGACCTCCTGGGCTCAAGCAACCCTCCCACCTCAATTCACAAGTAACTGAGACTACAAGCACGCACAATCACACCCTGCTAATTTTTATGTTTTCATTTTTCTTAGAGACAGGGTCTCACAATGTTGCCCAGGCTGGTCTCAAACTCCTGGGTTCAAGCTAAACTCCCATCTCAGCCTCCAAAAGTGCTAGGATTACAGGTGTGAGCCACTATGCCTGGTCTGCTTATTAAATTTTATCTAAATAATTTTTATTCAGGTAAATGAACAGCAAAATAAGCATAATAATAAAATAATTATGTCCCAAACCAATATCATATGTGTATATTTGCATTATATTTTCCCAGTCATCTATACTAAAAAACCTATAGATACTATACATATTGTACTGTGTGTGTGTATATATACACATATATCTATGAATGTACATATGTGTGTGTATAAAACAGTAATTTCTGACCTTACCTCCCAGACAGAAAATGTCAGGGGAATTAAAAACAGATTCTACTGCCTTCGAATTGCAATTCTGTTCTCCATTTCCTATTACCCAGAATAGCTTTACTTTGTTTTATAAATAACCTTTTGAGACTGATGAATAAATAATTTAAGATATAATATCTAGCTCAATAAAGCATATTTTGAAGCTTTCATTTACTTCTCTTTTAAATCACTCTCAGTTTAATGTTACCTGTTCGTTCTGTTCCTGAAGAACTATCCTTTAATGCTTTAATGCAACCATTATGTACCAATTCTCCCAGTCGTCTAAGGTCTGTTTCTGACTTATCAACTAACTCAGCATCTCGAGCAATTGCATCTAATCTGTAACAAAATAATCCAATTTTCAGGTAAATATGTTAAATGAAGTGGTGCCATTTAAGATTAAGTTTCACTCTATTTCAAGATCTGAATATCACTCTACTGCATGCTCTATATATTCTTGTTCACATAAATGGCAGGAAACACATAAAAACCAGGACAATGTGGTAGACAAACAATTCATTTATATATTCAATAATAATGAGTTTAATTCATTATAGAGCAAATGGAAGATTATATACCAATTCTGTAAAACCTTTTAATAACTGATCAAATTTTAAGATGTTCAGAATGAAGTGGTAAAGCTTTATAATTGTAAACACAAAAGCTGAGTAAAGTTCTGTAACTTTTTATTACTGTGCACCAAATAGATATGAATGATTAATACTCAAGACATTTTTTCATCTAAAATAATTATGCAAGTATTTCATTATATTTTAAGTATGCCATCTCAAAATAAAACAAAATATATCTATTTTTGAAGGGATTTTTTAAGAGTAAAAAAATAAACTAATTTGAGTCTTTGCTGATCTATATTCAGACAGTGGGTTGGCCACAACAAAGGGCAAAGAATATCCAAATCACAATAATTACTGAGATTATCTGATAACTTCAAAAAAACTATCTTAATTTGAATTTTAATACAGTTTGTATAATAAGAGAATGAATTTGAGAAACTTAAGAAAATATCTCTACTTAGGGAAAGCAGAGCTGGTTAAAAGGCTGGGTTAGCCTTTGGGAGGCTGAGGCAGGCGGATCACCTGAATTCAGGAGTTCTAGACCAACCTGGCCAATATGGTGAAACCCCGTCTCTACTAAAAAAAAAAAAAAAAAAAAAAAAATTAGCTGGGTGTGGTGGCATGCGCCTGTAGTCCCAGCTGCTCGAGAGGCTGAAGCAGGAGGATCACATGAACCCATGAGGTGGAGGTTACAGTGAGCCAAGATCGCGCCACTGCACTCCAGCCTGGGAGACAGTGAGAGACTCCATTTAAAAAGAAAAAAAAAAAAGGCTGGGTTAGCAACTCAGCCCCTCTATGGATAAATCTGCTCGTGCTACTTTTAAGTTATTGATGAAAAATGAGATAAAGATTGTAAAAAGTGCCTTACCGTCATAAAAGTGCAATTTAAACATGTATAGATAATTTACAGGAAAGAAATTTGAGACTGGAAATTAAACACAGTATAAAAACATTTTTAAAAACAATCTGAAATTTCCCTTGTACATTAATTTTGTAAATGCCGATTAAAAGCAAATTTAACAAAGTAGCTAAACTGAATGTTAATACAAATAAATAAAGGTGACAGCATGTAACACATTCCATTATTCTATGAGAATAATAAACGTATTTACCTTTCCAGAGGACCACCAAATTTCTTATAGCTCTTGATAAACCTAAGAGAAAATAATTGTTTGGTAAATGTGAGCTTCAGTATTCACTAAAATTATACGTATTTCTGATATTTACAGATATAAGAAAATACTTGTTAGTATAAAAATTCAAGGCACTGTTATCTAAGAAGAATGAATAAACTATGCTAAAAACAAAAATGTTAAAACATTAAGATACACCAGGTAAGACAAGGTAAATTAACATCCAAGATGATGTTTAGATATCAGTATAAATAAAACAATAGAAGCTAAATTTTGTTTTAAAAATTACTTCATTATTTTCATAAGACCAAAAGAAGGTCTGAAGCTACCACAGGAAGTGTCTCCACAATAATTATCAATTATATTACACTTCCTCACATTCCAAGTGCTGATAAAAATTCACTGAATAGCTTTAATTCAGATGTGTATTACACCAACAATGCAAAATTAAAATTTTACTTAAGAAAGCTACGTAAGTGGTTAATAAATGAGGAAAAATATCCAGGTAAAGTAGAAGTCGAAATGCTTCCTCAACTAAAGACGAAAAGTACAGCAATTCAGGTGGTCATGAAAGTGCCTTTTAAAAAGACTAACAATGTATTAAATTTTCTGGTAGAAAGAATAAGGAAGAATTTTGTCAGGTCTAAGATTTTAAAAGAAAAAAGTTACAATGGCTTCAAAGAAACTTTCAAAATACAAAACTGAATAAGATTTTAATAAATGTCATATCCAAAACTATTACATAAACAAAAGTAAGCTGTTATCCCATTCCTCTTAAATAAATGTGTATATATAAACATATTCTGAATGGACACTACAATAAATATATCCTGCCTGGCCAATCTTACCTCATCTCAATTCCTACTTGAACATATCAGAAATGCTTTTAACAGGGTTACTTTCAAAAAGGAAATTACCCTGTTGTTAAGAAACTAGAAAAATACAGAATTTCCACAAAAAATTAGTAACTTTGGGAGTCATAAACACCGTGAGAATTTTTAAAAATCAAATGCATCAAAACTACTTTTATTATTCGAAAGGATCACTATTGAGTCAAATTAATAAAAAAAATTGTGTAGTCTAAGCAGTTTAGCGATAAATAAATAACATGCAAAGATTAGACACCAAACTTGTTTTGTTCAGTTATAACAAATACCCAAAAGCAGAACCACCCAATTCCTACTCAAATAACAGATTTGCCTCTTCTAAAACTTCATCACAATTTTTGAAAATTACGGCGTTTTTACATTTTAGTTTCACACTCTACTAAAACCAAGTTGAAGCGATTGTCTTATAACACCTTACCGCCTAATTTCTGCATCACTAAATCCTTTAATATTCTCCCGAGGAATAGTCCGTGGTCTTCCACGTTTCTTTGGCCTTTTCCCTTCTGAGATGGAATCACTATCAGATCCAGAGTATCTCCTACTTCTACTGCGCCTCCCTTCACTTCCATTGAAACTAATCTGGAATTGGAAAATATTTACCCAACCTTAGTGTAAAAACAGCTTGTATCTTAAGAGCAAAAACCATTATAAAAGATGGTCGGAATCTTAAAAATGTTATTAAATGTATCAAAAACATTCCATAAACAAAATTAAAGAGCAAACAGAGAAAAATATATACCTCTGGTGGATATTTTGATTTAAAAGGTAATCAGACATTATATCAAAAGCCTCCAAAAGTTATTCTACTGACGCAGCAACATAACCTCTAGGCATTTTTCCTGAGGAGATCAGAACTGTGAAGAAACATTGATCAATAAAGTAATTTACATCATAAAAGAAAAATGTGGCTGAGTGCAGCAGCTCATGCCTGTAATCCCAGCATGACTGGGAGGCCAAGGCAGGAAGATAACTTGAGCCCAGGAGTTCAAGACCAGCTTAGGCAACATAGTGAGACCTTGTCTCTACCAAAAATTTAAAATATTAGCCAGGTATTTTTGTAGCATGCACCCGTAGTTCCAGCTACATGAGAGGCTGAGGTGGGAGGATCATTTGACCCCAGGAAGCTGAGGCTGCAGTGAGCCATGACCATACCATGGCATTTCAGCCTGAGCAACACAGTGAGATCCTGTCTCAAAAACAAAAAGCAAATAATCTAAATATTCATCAAAGAGAGACCAGACAAATCTATACGATAGAATGCTGAGACACCATTAAAAATGGGGTTGTAGAATAATTAACATTCATGACATACTGTCAAAAAGAAGAAAAAGTTCCAAATTAATACAACTCCAACTTAATTTGGCAAATGATAATGAATTTTTAAAAATTAGAATGATGTACACTGTGATAATGTTATCAGTCCTATCTCTGGATGAACAGATTGATTAGCTGTCTTTTTTTCCGTTCTGCTTAATATCCACATATTGCTATTCTAACTAGACAAATCAGATATTTGAAAGAAAAAAATGCCAGTTGAACCCACATAAAAGGCTATTTGTAACATCCATTAATTTTAATAAGATACATCAAAACATATATTCTGTAAGTCTTGGGAGTTTTTCCAAAGCCTTGGCACATATTCCGAACCTCTAATATGCTGAAAGTTAAATGAAGTAAAAAATGGTATTTAGACCTTTTTTTTCTAACCTCCCTTGATCCTTTCACAAGATCTAATGCAATGCTGCATTCTCACACACTCTAAAACAAAACTACTTAGGGGTTTGGAGAAATAAACAGAAACAAGAAATAACATGCATGGTTACTTTCAGGCCAAAAGCATTATTTTTGGCTCTACTTCTGGCTGTTATGTAGAAACTTGGTAGGGGCACTGCTCCTACTCTAACAACAAATCTGATGTACAAAATCATAATTTTTCTGTTTAACATCAGAGAGATGAAATCACACGGCAACCTACACATCTAAATGTAAGGATATACAGGAGATTACAAAAAGAGAAAAAGAGGACTTGAACAGTGGCTCATTTGTGAAGAACACAGGTGACAGAAATCAAGTACCATACAAGCAGGTAAGAGGAGATCAGCTAAAATCTGCTAATGGCTGAGTGTACGCTATTGTGAGATCACAGGACCTAACAGCCAAAACTCGGAGGACCTGCACCCACTCTCAAGCACTTTGCCACGAACTTCCACCAGGTGCTCATGAGAAGGAAGACTGGAGAAAACTTTCCTCCATGGTACAGCCTTGGAGAAAGTGAGCAGTCACCTTTGTGGAAACAGGAAGGAAGCCTTGCCAGACCTTTCCCATCTGCTCAACTGAGGGAACAGAATAAGATCTAATACGGTTGCAAGAAAAGAAAAAACAAAAAGCTCTACCCTTCGGGGAATGGTAGCAGGGCAGGGACTAGAGTGGGGCAAGCCCCTCATTTGCCCCAGGCTTAAAATTTAAGGAAGCACGAAAAAACTCAGCAATCAAGACAAAAAATCTTATATCCTAAAAACCAAAGGATACTAGAAAAAGAAATTAGTCTTAGAATTTTTTTCCTTTTTGGCAATATAGCTTGGCATGGCACTATTACAGTTATTCAAAATTTTGGTATTTGTTTACTTAGGCCACTGAATAAACACCAACAAATTTTTAAAAATTAAAATTACATAAAATATGCTTTCTGAACATGACAGAATTAAACTACCAATGATTAACAAACATAGTTGAAAAATTTCCTAAATATCTGAACATTTTAAAACATACTTCTAAAAAAACCTGTGGGTCAAAGATAAGTCATATGGGAAATTTTAAAATGTTTTTAAATTAAGGAAAATATAAAAATAGATTTGGAAGATTCAGAAAAAGTAACGCTTAAAGAAAAATTTGTAGCATTAAATGCCGATATTAGAAAAGAGAGATTACATTTCTATATCTAAGCTTGCACCTTAAGAAACTGAATAAAAGAGGCCAGGTGCAGTGGCTCGTGCTATAGTCCCAACATTTTGGTAGGCCAAGGCAGATGGATCACTTAAGCCCAGAAGTTCCAGACCAGCCTGGACAACATGGTAAAACTCCATCTCTACAAAAAGAATACAAAAATCAGCTGGGTGTGGTGGGACACACCTGTAGTCCCAGCTATTTGGGAGGCTGAAGTGGGAGGATCATCTGAGGCCGGGAGGTTAAGGTTGCAGTGAGCCAGAATTGTGCCACTGCACTCCAGCCTTGGCAATAGAGCAAGATGCTGTCACCAAAGAAAAAAGAAAAGAAAAGAAAGAAAACAGCAAATTAAATCAAAAGCAGAAAGGAAGAAATAATAAATTGTGGAAACTCATGAAATTAAAAACACACACACACACAAAAATCAATGAAACCAGGAGCAGGTTCTTTGAAAAGATGAATAAAAGAGGAAGAAACACTTCTCAACTCATTTCATGAGGCAAACATTATCAAATCAAGGCCATTACAAGAAAAGAAAACTATGGACTGATACCTCGTAGAAACAAACAAAATCAGCCCAGGTTGAATACTCTTACTTTATAGAAATATCTTTAAAATTGCAAAATCACCTGTTTTGCACAATTTCTCATTCTTGGGAGCATATAAATTTCTTCAAGTTCCTTTTGTCTTTCTTCTTCTTCTAATCGTCTTCTTTGATCTTCTGGAATAATTTCCTCCCAATTCTTTGAATTTCTTTCAGGTTCCAACTCAATGTCATCCTCATCCATATTTGAGAAGTTGGCAACCTGATAAATTTCAGAATTTTAAGAGTAACTGTTACAGAAAAATTGATCCCTAAAAGTTTTTTTTAAGGGGAAGAACTGGCATGCTCCTTAGGATAATGAACATGGCTGTGGACTAAACCAAATATAACTTCTAAACAACCTAGATTCATTTCTTCATTAGGGCAAAGCAGATCAAACCAAATGACATCTAATAATCCTCTAGGAATGATTTTATTTTGCCCTACTGCTCAACAAAATTAGTAGCATCACAGAACTAAGAGCAGTTAACAGAACAACAAAAAAGTAATTTATACTATTAACATGCTAAATAATCTGCAGAAATTCTCAGACCAGTCCACCTATCAAGTATTGTAGAACAATCTAATATCATTTTTATGGTCACAAAAACACTATCTAAAGAGCTACTGGCAGAGACATAGAGCTCTTTGAGAGCACACTAATTTCTGTGAGGATTACATAAGATAGCACATTTAAGGTACTATGCAAGGTCTGGTATACAGAAAGCACCCATTAAGGCTAACTATCACAGCCGGGCGAAGTGGCTCACGCCTGTGATTCCAGAAACCTTCACCTCTTAACCAGGATTACTCAACATTCTGTCTTATCTCCCCCTGCTATAGCTCTTTCCTCACTACAGTCAATCAACCACAAAGTAGTCAGAATGATTCATTAAAATTATAAAAGTTTTTTATTCACTGTGTGGGGTACACTGTAGGTGTTCCATAAATATTTGTCAAATGAACACATGAAATGAATTGATCTTTAAAAACCACAGTTCAGAGAAAACAGCTAAGATGTAGAGAAACCTGTTTCTTCAAACAAATGGCACTTAACTTACTCCATGAGGTCAGTTGACTTACGTTGTTTTAGGACTCCTTTCAACTCATTGACCCTCAACAAACCAGGGATATTAAGTATCAATATATAGTAGCTTATTGCTTACTTTGACTGATTTACTTGAGTTTTCTTATTTGTGATAAGTTAATGTCAAAAACTGCTTCAAAAAAATATCAGCTGAAAGCTTTCAGTCATGGAAATCTAAGTAAGAGATCACACTGATTCATTTATTTACCTAAGTATTTAAGGACATGCTATTTGCCAAACACTATTCTAGTTGCTAATTAGGAAACAACAGCTCTTTCCACCCAACTAAATGTAACTTCATAAATGGGTTTGGTCTCTTTCAAATCAGTTTGCTACTGGTTTGTCTGAACAAGAGAGAGTAGTTTTTACATAACACAGCAATCTTCCTGATTATGCTTAAAGAAAGATTAACAAACCACTAAATGACATAACTCAATTCCTCTCAATTTATGTAATTACAAGGAAAATTTTGTTTAAATCTACCTTGAACTGGGAAAGCAATTCATCTCCTACAGTTAAAGGACCTGGTTCATTTTCATGAGTTTCAGCTCTCTTCAAGATTTCATCTATATCCATTTCCTATAATTAAAAAGACAATATTTAAATATACTTGAATCCTTTCATCCTGTCAAATATATGACACATATTCTGAGGCAGGCCTTTTTTTTTTTTTTTTTTTTTTTTACCTGGGGCTCTTGTTCTTCTCCTTCAGGTTCCTTAAAAAGTTCTTCAGCACCAAACTTTAAAATGGCTGATAACTCTTCTTTATTGAAAGGAGTAGAACTAAAACAGGAAAAACAAAAATGCTTAACATTAACAGTTAAAAATATAACAGTTACACAGCACTTTTATTAATTACTGACATTTTCACCTTTACAACAGTTACATGAAGAAGTTAGACAAATCAAGTATTAGAATCCTTTTTTTTTTTTTTGGAGACAGTGTCTCCTTCTGTCACCCAGGCTGAAGTGCACTGGCACAATCTTAGCTCACTGCAACCTCCGCCTCCCGGGCTCAACTGATCCTCCCACCTCAGCCTCCTGAGTAGCTGGGACTACAGTTGTGTGTCACCATGCCCAGCTAAGTTTTTTATTTTTTGCAGAGGTGGGGTTTCACTATGTTGCCTAGTGCAGTATATTTATTTTAAAATAAGGAACTTGAAGCATAGAAGTGAAAGAGATTACCCCTAAAATTACAAATCTGTAGCGATGAAACCAGGTATTTGAAGTATGTCTTCTAACTAGAAATTAGTCCAAAGTCTTCCAAAATATAAAAAGTACAACTCTGAATACATTTCCTCAATGATCTACAGTGATGTAACATATCAAAAATATGAGTTTACTGACTCTAAAATGACATTTTTTTAATAATCAAGTAACCACCTTGATGGGGCAGAACCTGTATGTAGTACTGTCTTCCCAGTTGTGTCCATTCTTTGAATTACAAGATGATCTAAAACCATCTTCTTTTTCGCCCTTTCAAGAATATCTTCTTCAACTGATCCCTTTGTAACTAGACGATAAATATTCACCTGTAAAAATACACATGAGGAAACAAATTGCAGTATAAAGGATTTGTTTTGCTAACCTCAAGTGCCTAAACACTGGCACACAAATTGAAGCTCATTCTATATGAAGTTTTCACTGGTTAAAAGCAAAATGAAAATTTAAAAAACATGTTTAAAGCTAGAGTTCCTCAACTTAAGGGACTATTTTGAAACTATATCCTTCCTTCCTTCTTAATATTTTGATAAGGAGATTGCATTTGCTTATTTTTTTTTAAAGGAATGACAGTAATTTTTATGTTATGATTTAGCTGGGGAAAATGGGGGGGGGGCATGTAAACTTCTGATAGCCTTCTTATACTCGTTGCCTTGATTCTAATGTTTCATCACTCTATATAATGCAAAATTCTATGAACTACTCCCCAAGTTAATAAGAAACCCACCATAAAACAAACTCTCCAAAATTGAAAAGAATTGGTGTAGTAAATTTTCCCTATTTCTCTAGGTCAAAGATTCTGCAGTAAATTTTCCCTATTTCTCTAGGTAAAGGTTCAGTACCACCATTTAAGGGTATGTTGTTACAATTATAAAATGGGGTCACGTTTACATGTGGAGAATCTTGTAAGCACATGGACAAAATATAGACTAACAGAAAGGTAGCATATGCTACTCAAACTCCCTTTCAAGTTAAAATAAGCAAGTAAAGACGTTTTAAAGTTTTTATTATAAAATGAAAAACACTGCATTTTATAGTTACGACTAGAATACGGGATCAAAACAGAATACATGATCCTATATATGCATAGTTATCTCAATTCTGTCAGACTCTCCAGGTGATTTTGGTAAACCAAGCTCCTCAGTATCCTATCGGTTAAACAGTAGTATGACTGTTACAGTGATCTTATCCTCTAGAGGATAAACTGAAATCACTTCCAAAAAAAAAAAAAGAATTCTAAAACAGCAATATAATATAAATTAAAATTAAAAATACCTGTTTCTTTTGCCCAATTCGATGGGCTCTAGCCTGTGCCTGAAGATCATTCTGTGGATTCCAATCGGAATCAAATATAACAACAGTGTCAGCAGAGGCTAAATTAATCCCTAGACCTCCAGCTCTTGTGGACAGCAAAAAGCAAAAATCCTGTAAGAAATTGAATAATCAAAATGAAAAATTTTTCAATTGATTTTCTGAACGTAAGCAGTATGGTACTAATTAAACAGAAAGGCAGTTTTTAAAACTAATAAACATCTAGCAAGACCAATCAACAAAAAGACTCCAAAATCAAATATATATGTTATTAACACCAAATTCAATACAGTGTTTACTTCTGGTGAAAAAGAAAGAAAACGGGATAGGAAAGGAATGACACTTCAACTCTAACTGTAAATTTTATTTCCTTAAAAAATAAAAGGCATATACCAAAAAAAGAACTCTATGGAAAACAGCGTGGAAATTCCTTAAAGGAACTAAAAGTAGAACTACCACTTGATCCCAGGAATCCCACTACTGAGTATCTGCCCAGAGCAAAAAAGTCATTACATGAAAAAGATACTTGTACACACGATTACAGCAGCACAATTTGCAACTGCAACAATGTGGAACCAGCCCAAACGCCCATCAATCAACAAGAAGATAAACTGTGGTATACATACACAGTGGAAAACTACTCAGCCATAAAGAAGAATGAAATAATGGCATTTGCAGCAACCTAGATGGGATTGGAGACTAAATATATATATATATATATATATATATATATATATATTTTTTTTTTTTTTTTTTTTTTTTGACAGAGTCTCACTCTTTTTATCTTGGCTCACTGCAACCTCCACCTCCTAGGTTCAAGCAATTCTCCTGCCTCAGCCTCCCGAGTAGCTGGGATTACAGGCAGGCACTACCACACCCAGCTAATTTTTGTATTTTTAGTAGAGATGCGGTTTCACCATGTTGGCCAGGCTGGTCTCTAACTCTTTGTTTTTTGTTTTTTTTTTTTTGAGACGGAGTCTCGCTCTGTCACCCAGGCTGGAGTGCAGTGGCGCGATCTCGGTTCACTGCAAGCTCCGCCTCCCGGGTTCACACCATTCTCCTGCTTCAGCCTCCCGAGTAGCTGGGACTACAGGCGCCCGCCACTACGCCCAGCTAATTTTTTTGTATTTTTAGTAGAGATGGGGTTTCACTGTGTTAGCCAGAATGGTCTCGATCTCCTGACCTCATGATCCGCCCGTCTCAGCCTCCCAAAGTGCTGGGATTACAAGCGTGAGCCACCACGCCCAGCCTGGAGACTACTATTCTGAGTGAAGTAACTCAGGAATGGAAAACCAAACATTGTATGTTCTCACTTGTAAGAGGGAACTAAGCTATGAGGATGCAAAGTAATAAGAATGATACAAAGGACTCTGGGGACTCAGAGGGAAAGGGTAGGAGGGGGTGAGCGATAAAAGACTACAAATTTGGTTCAGTGTATACTGCTCAGGTGAAGGGTGCACCAAAATCTCACAAACCACCACTACAGAGCTTACTCATTTAACCAAATATCACCTGTTTCCCAAAAATCCACGGAAATAAAAAAAATTTTTTTTAAAGGAAAGTGGGCTACTTTGTTGTTTTTGGGTTTTTTCTTTCCCTTTTTTTTTTTTTGAGACAGAGTCTCACTCTATTGCCTGGGCTAGAGTCTAGTGACATGATCATGGCTCACCGCAGCCTCAAACTCCTGAGCTAAGTGATCCACTCAACTCAGCCTCCCAAGTAACTGGGACTACAACCGAGTGCCACTATGCCCAGTTTATTTTTTTTACTTTTTATTTTTATTTTTTTTTGTACAGACAGCAGTCTCACTGTTTCCCAGGGTGGTCTCAAACTCCTGGTCTGAAGCGATTCTCCTGCATTGGCCTCCCAAAGTGCTGGGATTACAGGGGTGAGCTACTGTGCCCAATCTGGCTAATTTATTTTGAAGCAAATTAAAATAACTGTTCCATGCTGAAACATTATTGATAATAAAGAGTAAAATTCTTGGCTGGGCGCGGTGGCTTCATGCCTGTAATCCTAGCACTTTGGGAGGCTGAGGCAGGTGGATCACCTGAGGTCAGGAGTTCAAGACCGGCCTAGCCAACATGGTGAAGCCCCATCTCTACTAAAACTACAAAAACTAGCTGGGCACAGTGGCACGCGCCTGTAATCCCAGCTACTTGTGAGGCTGAGGCAGGAGAATAGCTTGAACCTGGGAGGCAGAGGTTGCAGTGAGTTGAGATTGTGCCACTGCACTCCAGCCTGGGCCACAGAGTGAGACTCTGTCTCAAAGATAAAATCCTTAGGTTTAAACTAGAATAGTGACTTTAAAACCTCATTTGCTAATCAAAGGTGGCTAACACCACTCTTTTTTTATCAAACTAGATATGAAGATTAAAAATGTCTGAATATAATAATGTAATATACTGATACTAAATCAAAATTATTTATAATTTTAAAAGCACTAATACATACCTCTGATCCCTCAGCATTAAAATGATCTAGAGCTTGTTTCCTCAGTTCTCCTTTTATTGATCCATCTAATCTCTAGAAAAAAACACATTAAAATACTGCATAAACAGAATCAAAGTATTACAAAGCAATTAAAATCAATTATAAAATTAAGTAGAAATGTGAAGCATGTCCTTTGCTAAAACTATAATAGAAAGTACTTACTAGACAGTAAAATAATGCTCAGGCATTCTGTCTTTAGTCTGTGCTCCAAATCACTAAGACTGCACCCTCAAGAGTAAATACAGCATAGGCTGTCATACTATTCTGCCTGAGTCCCCATTCTAAAAGTATGTGATTGAGTACATAGCTGTTTGCAAACACCTGAAACAGTTTCATATCATGACATGATATACTATGTTATACTCTCATGTTTTATCATTTTACTTTCAAAATGTTGGTGCAACCCATTAAACTGATTCACAGATCCATTAACAGGTTACAATTCAGTTTTAAAAACACTGATTAAGTCCAGCGTGGTTACTAGAACAGCATTAGTGTCACCTGAGAACATAGATAAGCAAATTATTGAGTCCTACCCCAGACCTACTGAAGGTGTTTAGCAAAGGCCATCCAGTTAATTCTGATGCACACTAAAGTTTGAAAATTATTGATGTGAAGCATCATGGGTTCTAGTCAACAGCCAGCAAATGAGTATTTTATTCACTTGGTATCTTGAGCAAGTGATTTGACTTTTCTCCACAAACTTTTTCACCATGTCAGTTCCGCTTTAAACAAAACAGACATAATAGTAGTCCCTCCTTCATAGACTATAGAGAACTCAGTGAGAGAACACAGGAAAACATGTAGCACAGTGCCTACAACATACTGAACGCTTATTAAACATTAGCTGCTATTTCACTTTAGAAATGGCAATGATTTTATAATTATTAACTGGTTATAGACTAGAAATAACTTGTCTACTATGATCCATGCATTTAACCGACGAATTAAACTAGTATTTTGGGAAGCCATATGCCTACCTTTGCTTTGTTACTATATGAATTTTAACTCTGCGAAGAAAAAATATAAACATTTTAAATGATGTATTCTAAGTGGTTTAAATGAAGTGCTCTTAATTATCACCTACTCAAAGTAGGAAAACATGTCTATTAAAGTTTTAAAAAATTAAAATAATTTTTCTTTTCCACTAAAATACATATTAGTACAAATTTTAAGAATAGTGGCATCTCATTACTGTGGCATGACCTAAACCAAATAAAATTAAAAATTATTCTCTCCAGGAAGTGACCTAGGAATGAGAAGGAATTAGCAACAGAGAAGTGGCGCTTATTAACACTCAAAATTAGTCAAACTAATTTTTTGTTTGACTATGTACACAATAATTTGTTTAAAAACAAATCAACACAGGGCAGAAGAGGAAGGCAAATGGAAGGACAAGAGGAATAGCTAAAGGCTACAGGTTCTTTCTGATGAAAATGTTCTAAAACCACCTGTCGAACAATTATACACATCTGTGAACATAGTAAAAACCACTGAATTGTATACTTTAAATGAGTAAACTGTATGATATGGGAATTACGTATCAATAAAGGTGTTTTCAAAAACCTCAACTAATGGTACTCTTCTACGTTTTCCCCTAAATGACTGCAATTATTTCTCAATGATATTCCTATCACCAAATACCTGTCCTTCTTCACAACACTTACCAGAATTGTAATGTTACATTTATTTGTAATCACCTGCTTGATGTCTGTCTCCTGTAAGAGATGATAAGCTCTGACAAAGCAGGGATTGTGTGTTCAGTCCCATTATTATAATTTTACTGCTATTTTACTATCTGCACTAAATATACAGCATTTACTAGCTGTATCTACATAATGTCTGCTATGTTCCTAGTACTGTTCATAAAATTGCTTTGAGAATTAAGTAATTAGATCTGAAGTACTGAAAACAGCACCTGACTTTAAATACTCATCAATATTAGCTTTAGTTATATTGAATGAACTTCAATATAAATTTTGAATAGATGGAAGGGAATTTTGGTCTTTAGTTTCTTCTGTAAAGTTGTCTAGTTTTACTCAACAAACCCTGTGTCAGATAACTATGAGCACACCAATCATCAGAATCTTGGCAGCATTCACATTCAGAGACTACTGGCTGTTTTCCTCATTCAGATTGAAGACTAAAGGCTCCCCTGCTTTTAGATCTATCCAATCAAGAAAATTCTGCCTTAGTTCAGTTTTTAAAATCTAAAGCAAGCATAGAAGAAAAAGACAGAATTAAAAGAAAATAAAAATCACAGGAAAGGAAGAAAAATTGTTTTGTTGCAATATGTAAAGTCAAGAAAAACCGGGAATGACAAATATTTTTTAAAGCAGATACATCTTTTTAAAGAAAAAGTACAGTTTATATAAAAACCTAAACACTTATAAAATAATTTCAGTTAATTCTGTAAAATATGCACAGGAATTAGATAAAATTTAAAACAACAAATACAATTAAATGCTTACTTGAAAGGGGAATTGACGATATTTCAAATATTCTGCAAGTATATCTAACATCCGCACCATTTGTGAAAAAATAAGAACTCGATTGCCTCGTTCTCTTAGGCGAATTAATAGCTTGTCAAGAAGAATCAATTTTCCGCTACTACGAATTAAGTGCTACAGAAACAATTCAAGTTGTTATATGTTAAAAGACATAAATGGTAAGTTGTCCACGTAACACTTTAGTTGCCTGAATTATTTTAAATTGAGATTTTAAATTTTCATGTTAGAAAACAACTTATTTCACTTTTCAAAATTTTCTAAGACCTTTACCATTTCACTCTATGACTGAAGCTAAAATACCCTTTGCCATATCACACCTAGGTTTTGTTATACTATCGGGGAGGAAAAAAGTACTGTTCACTCTGTTTGCTAGTTACTATACCACAGTGTTTCTCCAAAAATCTTAGCTGAAGAACAATGACATCAGAAGCAGCAGCAACTAAGCAACCAAAGGTTTAAAAAGAGTAAGCAAATGCATTCTAATGTATTAATTCTAGATGCTGATCCTAGCCCTTCAATGCACTACAGTGGCTGGATTGCAGCTGTGCCTTCGCACTTCTGACTTATCTTCCAGAAGTACCAGGAAGGGTTAAGATGTGAGGTCAAGATGTCCTTTAGATTACCATTTACCAAATCACAAATGCAGCACAATTACTATTAACGATTTTTTCATAATTATGAACATACTGTGGGATTTTCTTGCTGGATAAGTTATTATAGGCCATGGTTTGAGAGACCTATTTTTAGAAAATTCATCAAAATAATTACATAAATTAGAATTTTAAAGTCTTTTCTACAAAGATTAATAACTGAGACCATTATAGAAAGGCACCATTAACTAAAGAGAACTTTTATCCAATAAGTTAAAGCATTGAGCCATTTTCGATTGTAAGTGAAATCAACATTTCTAGAACTTTATCACAAAGAAACAACATTTAAAAATTCTTACTTGTAAGGCCTCCTGTTTATTATAGAATTCATTATTATCTGGTGGTTTAATGAGGTAGCAATGGTTACAACATTTCTTTAGCTCCATCATAATGTTCAAAAAGCCTGAGGTACTGCCCTTGGAACCTTTGCTGAGGGCTTTGTAATTCCTAGTTAAAATCCATCTTAAAAAAAAAAATTATGAAAACGATGTTTAGCAGAACAATTACCAGGATAAATTCTAAAAGCATTAAAACAAACAAAAAAAGCCAACGATAGTACCAAAGTAAAACTGTACCGTTATAAAATTCACAGCTGTATATACAACGGACCAAACCTCTTTCATAATACTCATGAGAACACAACTTGTTTTCTGAACCATTAGCTATACACAGAACAGGCTAATGTAACATAATTATTACAGTGTATTAATCCTTTCCCCTCAAATTTGCTAAAAAGATGGTCAGCTGCATTATTTATCTGAATCTTCTTACAACTTTTACTGCATTAGACAGCTAATGAAACTGAATTATTTTGCATGGACCTAAAAGAAACCTGAGGATACCTGGTTTTAGCCACGACTGCCTTCTCTAGATTGCAATTACACAATACATATGTAACTTATAGAAAACATCTTGGTGATATTTTACTACTCCAAACTACATGTAACAATTCCTGTGCTCACTTCGGCAGCATTTATACTAAAACTGGACCAATACAGAGATTAGAATGGTCCCCATACAAGGATGACATGCAAATCCATGAACACTCCATATTTTTGTATATATATCCCATGAATACTACACAGCCACAGAAAAAAAAGGATGAAATAATGCCCTTCAAATAAAATAATATCCATGGATGGAGCTGTAGACCATAATCTAAGTGAATTAACACAGAAACAGAAAACCAAACACCGCATGTTCTCACTTACAAGTGCAAGTTAAACACTGAGCACACATGGACATAAACATGTAACAACACTGTCGACTACTAGAGGGGGGAAGGAGGGGAACATGGGTTGAAAACTACCCACTGCGTACCATGCTCACTACCTGGATGCAATATTACCCATGTAACAAACCTGCACATATACCTCCAGTATCTAAAATAAAAGCTGAATTTAAAAAAGAAAAGAAAAATTTCCTCTCACCATGACCTTTTCCACCTTTTATTTTCTTCCTTTTTACAAGGTCAGTTTTTGAAGGGACTTGAAAGTCTCAAATATCTAGTGTACATACTCTTTTATTACCATTCTTTACCACTAGTTATACAGGCAGTTCCCCAAAACTGGAATGAAAAGCAAAACGAAACCCATGGACAATGCTCAATGCCCTAAGAGGTAATCAAGAATAAAGAATATTTTTCCTTATCCAGAAAAAATTTATTATTAATTTCTCTAGAGGTAAAAATTCTAAGAATTTTTCCAGAAATTTATGGCAGTATCTTATTACCTTAGTTGCCAAAAAGTACCTTGAAGAGTTTAAGTTCAACATCCATGATATATGACTAGCACTAAGAGAATTACAGGTGAATGTGTCTTCTTCCTACTTTGACTTTTCTTTCTAAATATTCTACAAAATGCATTACTTTTTTTAAAGAACCCCATAACAAAATTAGATAATCGCCATTGTGTACTACAAAATATACTCTTCTCATAATTATTAATTTGAATATTATCAAGCACCTACATCTACCTACCAATCTGTAGGAAATACAGAGGATACTGTTAAACTATTTTAGAGGGAAGTACTATGCAAAATCTAGATTGTGGAAAAATTCTACAGAATAACTGTTTTCCCCATCGTATACATTTTAACAAAAAAGAAGTACCTATAGATAATAAACTCAGAGACAAATCAATTGCCATATATGAACCTATCTCAATCCCAATTCGAGTAAACGTAAAAAAATTTTTTGAGACAACAGAGAAAACTTGAACACTGATACTGAATATTGGTATCAAGAAATTGATTCTGCTGAGAGAGCAATAATTTCCTAAATTGTGAAAATTTTAAAGTGGGTTATTTATTTACTTAAGATGGGGTCTCACTCTGTCACCCAGGCTGGAGTGCAGTGGCATGACCTCGGTTCACTGCAACCTCTGCCTCATGGGCTCAAGCGATCCTCCCACCTCAGCCTACCAAGCAGCTGGGACCACATGCACCCACCACCACTCCTGGCTAAGTTTTTTGTATCTTGAGTAGAGACAGGGTTTTGCCATGTTGCCTAGGCTGGTCTCAAACTCTTGAGGCTCAAGTGATCTGTCTGCCTCAGCCTCCCAAAGTACTGGGATTACAGGCATGAGCCACTGGGCCCAGGTGATACTAGTATTTTTAAAAATCAATTATTAGAAATACACAGAAAAATATTTATGGAAAAATTTCCAATCTGCTTCAAAAGGACAGGTACTGAGGGAAATGGGGATGACCAGAGATACATAAAAAGACTGGCATGAGTTGAAAGGGAAGCTGGGGCTGGGCACAGTGGCTCATACCTGTAATCCCAGCACTTTGGAAGGCTGAGGCGTGTGGATCGCTTGGGGCCAGGAGTTCAGGATCAGCCTGGCCAGCATGGCAAAACCCTGTCTCTACTAAAAATAAAAAAATCAGCAGGGCATTGTGGGGCACACCTGTAAACCCAGCTACTTGGGAGGCTGAGGCACCAGAATCATTTGAAACCAGAAGGTGGAGGTTGCAGTGAGCCAAGATTGTGCCACTGTACTCCAGCCTGGAGTACAAAGGGAGACTCCGTCTCAAAAAACAAACAAACAAAAAAAAGAAAGAAAGTGAAGCTGAGTCATGGGTATAAGAGTTCATTAAATTATCCTATTTTTGTATATGTCTGACATCTTCCATAATAAAAATAATTATGCAATTAAGTATATTCTTTCAAATGTATGGCACCTATAGATTTACCATAGAATATAAATGTTTCTGAAACTCCAAATGCATGTAGCAATATATTTCCTTTTATGCAATTAAATGTTTAAACAGATATTAGAACAGATTTTCCTTTCTGATTCTTTGAAAAGTCCTACTGTATAGATCTTGACATACAAAATTTATACCAGCTATGATTTGTTAATACTCTTCAAAAAGCAGCAGAGCCTAAAATTTTTTTCTAAGTTTCTTTTTTTGGCCTCTGTTAATTGTCATAATCATATAATACCTTTATTATTGTGGAAATCCTAACACTTAAACTCTTTATAAGATAACAGTATGATATATAGGAAAGCAATTAATTATGTGTCAGAAGATGAATTACTCAGTGTTGTCACTCATAATTTTGGATATGTCATTAAATCTCCTTTTGCCTCCTAACGACACAGAATAAACTTATTCTGAAACTCGAGAATTGCAACTGCTCTAAGACACTATTGTAGAGAAGGTGGGGGCACCAAAAGCAGGACACAGACATGGAAGGTTTTCAGAATTAGAAGTTCAGAACTGTGTTCTGTGTACAGCTTACTTGTAATATTGTTTCTGTAAAGCACTCATTTCCATTCTTAAAATCTGCTCAACCTTGGCAGGAAGAGATTTTTCCACATCTTTCTTAACTCGGCGTAACAGAAATGGCTCAAGCTCCTTGTGAAGGCTTGCATAACCATATTCTCTCCCTTTGCCATGTTCTTCTTCAAAATCTTCCCAGGAAGAAAACCTTTAAAATTTAAGAAATTGGAACAATTACTAGAAAAAATCAAATTGTGTATGTTGTGTATGAACTTTTTTTTTTAGGGGAGTCATTTATAAACAAAATACTACAGATTTTTAGAAAAAAAAATTAGCTAAACTTAGTTACCTCTAAAAATCTCCCTCCCAAGAAGATGCATGATGAAATATAATTAGTTGTTTTATAAGTTATGATTCTTGAATCAAGTGAATATGAAGTATTTTGAAGTATGGGAGTAATTATCACTAAAATATTTCTCAAAAAAATATACTTTTAAAGTTCTGGACCTACTGAAAGAGAACAAGTAGTGACCTTTGGGAACTTATTTAGCCTTGTCTAGTCTAGTTTTCCTCATTTAGAAAAAGGGATTACCAGCACCTCATTGTTGTTACTCCTACTGTTAAATACAAAGAATGGTACTGTGTTAGTTTTTCAAACAAGGTATATTTTGAAAATGTGCAAAATCAACTGTCGTGATTTATTACACATGGCTTAAGTTTATTAACAAAATTGAAAAATTCAAATAGTATTACAAACTACCTGACCTCATTTTCCTTTTTAAAAAATTCTTAGTAATCTGTGATCTAATCTTTTAGGGCAATAAAAACTCTTACTGACCTTATTACCTGGGTTTATTCCCACTAAACATAATATCCACACAATATGATTAAAATTGTAAAGTTGTCTTACTTTTCTGGCATAATGAAATGTAGCAAAGACCAGAGCTCTTTGAGGGAATTCTGTAGAGGAGTTCCAGTGATAAGGAGACGATGATTGGATTTAAAATCTATTAAAGTTTTATACAGAAGGGAGTCATCATTCTTTAATCGGTGTGCTTCATCAACACCTATAAATGCCCAATTTAGACCTCCAAGGAATGCCTTAAAATAATAGAAAAACAGTATTTTGAGAGAAAAACGGAATTCAAATTTAGCCTTCCCATTTAATCTGAACTCAATTATTAAAATGAAATAAAAATTAAAAACAAACTTTGTCTAATTTTCAAATAAAAAATCGTAATCTCAAGATTACAATACATAAGTAACTCAGCACATATTCCTTCTATGACAAATTTAACCACTAGAATGTAATATCAAGCCAAAGTTTTTATTAGCTTATAAACTGATAATTAACGGAGAAAAATCAGCAGTGTCATTTAAAATTTTTACAAAAGATTTTTAGCCTAACCCCAATAGAAGCCTCTATTAATGTCAATATGAAAAAAAAACTATGACACAAATTCAGAACAGTGTCTTATTCCAAGTGTAGGTACAATTCTTTGTACAACTTTTATGAACTGTAGAACTCTCTTAAACTTAGGTCTCTGAGTTAGAGCAGGCCTGATTCCGCTACTTAAGAGCTGTGTTACCACAGCCAAGTTCATTAAATTCTTTGAGACATTTTTGAGACTGATTTTCTTTTCCATAAAGTAGAGAAAGTGAATATAAAGTAGATGGAGGAATTAAATAAGACAGTATCTATAAAGCCTTCACTGCTTCACACAGTGGTAGCTTAATCCTGTTAGGTATCTTCCTCTTCTTTAAAGAGCTTACAAATCAATACACACTATAACAAACTGGTTTCATTCGATTGAGTTGGCAAGCTTTTTCTAAGAAGAGCCAGATAGTAAATATTTCAGACTTTGCAGATAAATATATGGTCTCTGTTACATATTCTTTCTAAGACCCTTTAAATGTAACCTTTCAAAAAGGTAAAAACCATTCTTAGTTCAAGCACCATTAAAAAAATAAGACCACAGGCTATAGCTTGCTGACTCACGATTTAGGCTATTCTCTCATCTTGTCCACAGCATATGATAAAGAAAAAACTGATATACAAGAGACCAAAACACGTGAGAAATAAATACATACCTTATCTTTTAATAAAATTTCATAAGTTGTTAACAATATATTAAATTTTAACCGTTTGGTCTGATGATGCGTCCATTCATGAGTTCTTATCTATTAAGAAATTTGAAGGACAATTTTTAAGACAAACATCAAGCAAATTATACTTTTACTTACATATCTAAAAATTAAAATCCATTCAAATATGTAAGTAACTATTAATATATGTTTATGTAATAAAAGAGTTTTTGTGGTTTTTTTTTTTTGAGACAGAGTTTTGCTCTTGTTGTCCAGGGTGGAGTGCAATGGCGTGATCTCGGCTCACCACAACCTCCACCTCCCGGGTTCAAGTGATCCTCCTGCCTCAGCCTCCCGAGTAGCTAGGATTACAGGAATGCACCACCACGCCCAGCTAATTTTGTATTTTTAGTAGAGACAGGGTATCTCCATGTTGGTCAGACTGGTCTCGAACTCCCAGCCTCAGATGATCCACCTACCTTGGCCTCCCAAAGCGCTGGGATTACAGGCATGAGCCGGCATGCCCGGCCAGAGTTATTCTTTATATAGTCCAAAATGCTATGTAAATCTTATAAATAAAACATAAATACCACAGCATTTCTTAAAAAACGAAGTAAACACAATTTTAAAGCACATCTTTCACAAACGAAAAGGTCTTATTTAAGAAAACATAAGTGATTAATTCATTTAATAATGTAATGTTTATGGATGAAATATGATGTCTGGGGTTTGCTTCACAGTAACTAGGAAAGTCGTGTGTAGAGGTATAGACAAAACAAAACTAGCAGTAAATTTGTGAAACTTAAGAACATGAGTGTTTATTACATTCTTCTGTCTGTTCTCATGCATATTTGAAATTTTCCATTAAAAATGTAAAATAGGCTGGTATGGTGGCTCACGCCTGTAAATCCCAGCACTTTGGGAGGCCAAGGCAGGTGGATCACTTGAGGTCAGGAGTTTGAGACCAGCCTGGGCAACATAGTGAAACCCCATCTCTACTAAAAATATGAAAATTAGCCGGGCCTGGTGGCAGGCGCTTGTAATGCCAGCTACTTGGAAGGGTGAGGCAGAAGAATCACTTGAACCTGGGAGGTGGAGGTTGCAATGAGCCGAGATCACACCACTGTACTCCAGTCTGGATGACAGAGTGAAAACAAAAAAAAAAAAACCCACCAAAAAAACAGTCAAATATATATACTAAGTAACACTAAACCAAAACTGACTTTGTTACAGTCAATTAAACATGTACTGAGAACTTATTTGTGGCAAGTTCTATACCAGAAACAAAGACTGTTATACAGACCAAAACAAAACAAAACCTCTCATCCTTGTTAGGCCAAGAACGGTGGTTCATGCCTGTAATCTCAGCACTTTGGGAGGCCAAGGGAGGCAGATCACTTGAGCTCAGTTCAAGACCAGCCTGGCAACACAGTAAAACCCTGTCTCCACTAAAAAATATAAAAAATTAGCCAGGAGTGGTGGCGTGCTCCTGTGGTCCCAGTTGCAGTGAGCCAAGATCATACCACTGCACTCCAGCCTGGGAGACAGAGTGAAACCCCATCTCAAAACAACAAAAACACTTGATCTCAAAGACAAGTACATTTTGATTTCTACATTTACAGGGAAACAACTTACCATGTTTCTGCTGTTAATGTCACCTAAATAAACCACAGCATTCATTTGAGAAGCCCAAGTCTGAATTTCCCTTTGCCAGGAAGTAAGAGTGGAGAGCGGTACTACCAATAAAAAAGGTCCATATAATTGATGTTCATGAAACAAATAATTCAGAAATGAGATCGTCTGTATTGTTTTTCCAAGGCCCATTTCATCAGCGAGTATGCAACTATTTCCTCTACAAAGTTAAAAAAAAATTAGCATGCAAGGAAATATTCAAATATACAAAGAAACCTTTTTACATCATGTGTATATGTTTTTATGAAGTTAAATAAAATTGATAGGTATTATATAGAATATACCACTTTTATTAACTACAAATAATAAATGTAAAGGTATCTGGCTAAAGACTTAATCACTAATGCTGTAAGAAAAGTAAAAGGAGATGACCGTTTTGGGCCAGAAGAGGCTTAAAGATTAATAGTATTATGTTTAATCAATTATGAAGCCAATAATGCAATTCATCTACTAGTAGTAGAGTCCAGATATATTAAATAAGTAAAAAGTATATAGGAAGAACACAGATTAAAAAAAAAAACTATAGCTAAATTGCAACCGAGATTCACAAAAGTAGAGTGGGGGCCATAGAAGATAGAAAAAAAATGTAGAAGAGTAAATGGATATTAAAATAACTAGGAAAAAGAGAAATATTCCAGGAATAGCATGGGATGAGAACAGATATGCATTTTGATTTTTAAACTGAATAAAAACATATTTTAAAAAGGCAACAATCAAGTTAAACTCCAACTCCACTGGATTTTCTTCCTAGTATGTAGTAAGTATTGTTTATACAAACTAGGAAATACAAAGACTAGCATATAAACTGCCAAAGAGTCTTATTCTTTATGTAAATGGAAATCTTTTCTGAATCCTGTATTGGTAAATTCTTACTCTGTCAAATTAAATAGATGATTCAAAATATACTTACTTGCACCAAGAATGAGCAAGCCAATTTAAACCATTCAGTTGATAATCTCTTAATTCTAAGCCCTCATGTCCTCCAATATAGGATGGCTGCTTCTTCAGGGCTACAAACCTTGGCCTTTGTTTTAATACCTTTAGTAGAAATAAACATTATTATGTAGAGTTATTAAATATAAGAAATTATACTAAAAGATGAAAGCCTCAGCTTTACCATAAATTCTTAAATTTCATCTCTAATCATCAAGCTCAGAGATTCCATTACTCAAAATGTACCTGAGGATTCAGTCAATACTGTTTTCTACTACTCTACAAAAATGAACAGTGAAATATTTTGCCTTCTTTTTTAAACAAAAATGTATAGAGAAAATTAACTTCCTGCCAAAATATGAGTCTCATGTATTTCACAAGCAAAACCTACGTTAAATTGTTCAAAACCATCACTCCAGCCTTAAGCTACAAACCATAAAACTGGCTTAGCTTACCGTTCAATTTCTGAA